>NC_000005.10:84958291-85261322 GCF_000001405.40 Homo sapiens | reverse complement strand
CTACAGTAAACTTGAGTTGACTGAATAGTTTAATCAGATATTGGAAGACTTCTGCCACAGCCAAGACCTTTGTTGCCTTGTTTGTGCAGTCTTGCCCTGAGTCTGACCCAAAGAACCATAACATTTTACAGAGAAACTGAAGAGTACACAGAAAGTGTAACTAAATAGTGATAACTACTATGTAATATATAACTAAACATGAGCAGATTTATACCAGGCCAGCCACAAAGTGAAAATGAAAAATGGAGATACTGACATAGCATTAAAAAAGGAATAGTTACAAGTTGAGATGTGCTTGGGAACAAACTCATGCTTATTATAAATTGAAGATATTAGGCATTTTAAGATATCAGTTATCATTTATTTAATTACTTATTCAGTATGAAATGTGTACTTTATCAGACTATACACATTTATGCAAGTATAAAATGCTATTTATTAAGTTTAAATTACATACATTTTAGGCAGTCCCATTTGCATTCAATCCAATGATAACAACTTCTCTGATATTTATTTTCTTCACAGTTTTATTCTTTTAATTCTTTAAAAATATAGTATTTTCTTTTCTGATCAAGATAAAAATCCAAAAAGTTTTACCACAGCACTTCCTCTATCTATTGGAAAGTAACTCTTTGTGACCATGATGCATGCTTTTGTGTTCCACTATGTAATCCAGTGATTTTAGCTGAAATTTCCTGGGGTAAATTGAAATACAGGATTTCCTGAGATTATAGATGAATGTGAGAAATTCTTCTAAGATGCCAAATACATTCTGTTTTGATCAGTGACTCTGAAGTAGCTTGTACCTCTAGGCTATATATACAGAAGCAGATTCCATGAGTTTTATAGTATTAGCACATTTATACTTACTACCTGTTGCCAAAGTGATCTTTCAAAGTGCTTAAAACAACTCGTAACCCTATCCCACCTGTGGTCAAATATATCTTACTGATCTTTTGAAGGTGTCATAACATAGTAATGTCAGCTTTTGTATTTTATTTTTTCTTAACTAATGAATCTGATATGCTATTCTCTACTGTGCTTTTAATTTGTTTCCACTAACTCATGTGACAGAGCATTTTTAAATATATTTATTTGCCCATCAGCTTTCTTTTTCTTTCAGTTTTCGATGAATATTTTTTACCCAATTTCTATTGTCTTTTGTCTTTTCACTTAGAATTTTTAAATTCTTATTATTTATACAAATCTTTTCTTAGGCTTTTGCTTCACAATTATCTTTTTCCCAACTGTGGTTTAATCAAGCTGCTCTGGGAATAATTTTTATTTTGTTGCTGTTTAAGATTCATTTGTAGTTACCCATAGACATTATGGCTACTGTAAGTTAAGTCTTTTCTATTTCAATTTTTATTTTAGAATTGTTATTATCTTAAAGGAACATTGCTATTTTCGTTGGTTGGTAGTCTAGCCACCAGCTGTCTAAACATTTTTTCATTACTCTTAGTAATTATTTGTTTCTTTTTTAAATTTTAGGAAGACAATTAATATTACCTCCTCTTTTCCAATATTGTATCTCTGACTTAATTTATAGACCTATTATCTTGCTAAATCTCTCCATACAAAATTGATAAATGAATCAAAGAGACCTTGGTGGACATGCCAATCTTGGTCTTTCAGTTTAATAGGATTGCTTTGAGTAATTTAGCACTATTGCTTTTATTGTTTTCAATAGCATGCATTATATTTCATATGGTTTTATGTATTTATTTGTGACAACCACTACTTTAATTTTGCCATCCAGTGAGATATTTTTTCATAAATACAATTTCAGGAAAGAACCATCTTTGCATTCATGAAATAAACCTGTTTGAACGTGATCTAATTTTTAAGTATAATCACTCGATTAAATTAGCTAAACTTTTACTGAGGTTTTCACACTTGGCTTAATAAAGATTTCAGTCCCTGATTTTAATATGTGTTTCTTTATTGCTTTCATTATCATGATTATTCTATTTTTATAAAATAAATTTGACAACATTAATTTTCTCTTCAAAAAAGTTGACAATATCTGTCCTTTGAGTATTTGGTTAAATTTATATATAAATTAATTTAGATTTGATATATAATTAGAGAAGCAGAAAAATTATTTAATTATATTTCTAATTTCCTAATAGATATTCGATATTGAGGTTCTAAAATTTTAAAGGTAAATTTTGAACTCAAATGCTTTTGAGATAACAATAAAATTTCTCTAAGATTACATAGGAATGCTTAAAAATTACATAGACTATTCTTTTGGGAGTTAAAAAATCTACAATCACTTATTTTTCCCTTATATTTAATCAAGATATTTTAAATCTGTCCTATGTTGCTTGTTTTGTTCATCAGTTTTTCTGGGGGAATTTTATATGAATAAAATTATGTTTCCAACACTTAGTATATAGACTGGTCAAATTATAAAATCTACTCATGATTGTTTCCTTACCTAAAAAAAAAGGAGATTGTATTTAAAGTACCAGCTTCCCAGGACTGCATAAGGTAGTAAATAGGAAGCATTTAGAAAAGCACCTGTCACATAGTAAAAGGTCAATCACCACCAAATATTACTATTTTAATTGTGATTAATATTATCATTAATATTCCAAAGAAGTATTTTTAATTCTGGCCATGTCCTATTTTTCTTCATTCATATTTTATAATTTTTATTTATCTGTTATTTCTTAATTTCTATTTTAAGATCTTTTTCTAGTTTCTGGCTTAGCATTTCTTTCCAATCCTTTTTCAAATACATGTGCTTTAGATTACCAATTAATCTCCAAGTAATTATTCAACTGTAACCCATAATATTCAATATATAATTTTTTATTCTGGTTCAAATACAAAACATAATATTTTTGTCATGATTTCTCCAGACTCACGTATTATTAGTTCATTTTTAAAAATGTTCCAAGTATAGTGGTCTTGTATTACTCTCTTATTTTGTTTTTGACTTCTAATTTAATTTTTTAACTGAATTTTAATTTCTATTTTTTTCTGTGTCCAGAAACTGTTCTAAATTGCATCAAAACATAATTCGTTGAGTCATATTATAAGTAGTAGACTTTGGAAATATTCCACATATTCTTAAGCATAACTTTATAAATTTTGTTTGAGTGTTACAGCTACCTCAGTATCTACTTGTCTATATTTTACTTACAACCATCTACATCTATATTAATATATTTAACCTTGTTATTCAGGATTTTTATATTTTTCTAATGTTTGTCAGCTTAAAACTGCTGTTGTTAGTCTCCTAAATTTCCAACAATGATTACAATTTTCCCAGTTTTCTCTTGTAGCTATTTTAGTGATTGCTATGTATATTTGAAAATTTTTAGTAAGCTGCTTACTCATTTAAATTGAAGTCTAATATCAATATATTGAGCAATTTGGTTTCTTCTGAAGCCTCTCCCTTTGGCATGCAGATGGCCACCTTCTCATTGTGTCCTTACATGATCTTTCCTCATTCTTGGTGTGTCTGTGTGTATCTGAATATTCTCTTCTTATAAAGACAACATTGGAATTGGACTAGGGCCAGTCTTAATGACTCCTAACTTAAAAATATCTTTAAAGCCTCTATATTCAAATACAGTCACTTTCTGTGGTACTAGGGGTTAGAGCGTCCACCTATGGGTTATGGAGTATACAATTCAGCCTTAACAATGCATCTAGTGTGGGGTGGGGGAAGGGGGGAGGGACAGCATTAGGAGAAATACCTAATGTAAATGACGAGTTAATGGGTGCAGCACACCAACATGGCAAATGTATACATACGTAACAAACCTGCATGTTGTGCACATGTACTCTAGAACTTAAAGTATAATAAAAAAAATGCATCTAGCTATGATTTTTTTTCATATATCACTTATTATTAAAAATTATACTTGATTTTTAGGACTATGCCTTTAATTCTAGAAAGTTGTTTCACTATCTTACATTTATTTATCTCTTGTTTGTCATTGCTTCAATTTTCCATATCTGAAGCTTCGGTAGGGTACAATTTTAAACTTTTCTATTATATTTCCCTTTTTTCTTAACAGCTTGTTTATGTTACTAACCTCTGTTAATTCTTAGTCTTACATTCCAATTCCTTAAGTTCTCACTTTAACTATGATCATTTTCTACTTACTTCATTTGTTGTCTTATTTTCATTTTAGTTACTATACGATCTTGCTATCTATGGCAGCAGAGCAAACCACCTCAAAATCTTGTTACTTTACTCATGGTTCTGTGCTTTGATTGGACTTAGACAACACTTGATGTTGCTCACACATTTGCAGTCAGCTTGCAGATGGGGCTTTGAGGTTATTTAATAACTAGCCTGGCTGAATGTTCTTGATGGCTTCTTCACTTCCATATCTAGTGTCTAAGTATTTCTTCTCATGCCCCCACTTCTCCTCAGATTAGACTGAACTTCTTAGAGCTCCAGAATTCCATAGAGTGGGATGTAGAAGCTGCCCAGGACTAATACAATATCTGGCATAAGCCTCTTCTCCCATATTCTATTGATCAAGGTAGTCATAGGCTCATCCCCAAATACAGGGGTTGGAAAAATATACCCCAACTCTTGATGGGAATAGAATATGTGAGATAAGCATTACTGTTGTAACTGTCTTTGAAAAGACAAAATGCCACACTACATTTTAACATTTACAGAATTTCTAGTATTGTCTTTTACCTGCTTTATTTTCTCGGATTATGTTTTCTCTGTTTTTATTTTATAATTTTAAATTTATTTTTACTATTTGAATATATTTTTTATTTTCATGTGTAACTTTTTCTGCTTTGTGCTTTCTTCTACCTATGTATCCAGATTACAACCACATTTTGTAACAGTAGGGTGGGGTGCCTATGAAGTTGCTGATGATTTTGCTGAGTCTGTTACTTGGCCAGAAATCTGAAGAGAAATAAATGTTTGGTTTTTGCACACATCCTTGACGCAAAGTCATAGTCAAAGGAAAGATAATAATACATCTTTAGCCTACTTTTAAAAATGAAGGAGATGCCACCTAACCCCTGGTGACAGGCAGAAATGCTAGTTCCACTTACCCATTACACTTCAGACAACAAATTCATGTCTATAACTGTTTACTCCGGGACCTGAAGCTAGCATAAACTGTTTCACCCACGTTCAAAATGTTCCTTTGCAGTTTTCCTTTTGTGACCTGTGAAGCTTGGGATTTTCCTTACCTGTGCTTTCTATGTTGATTTTCTATGGTTGATTTTTCCTTTAATATTTTAATTATCTTTGCAATTGTGTTTAGATATGAGGGCATGTGTCCAAAAATTTCAAATGACTACATCACCTTAAATGAAAATCTTTTAAAGATAACAATTGCAATTATTTTTGTCAACCCTTGTCTGTTCTCAGGGAGTAGCTAGAAATTTTTCTAAAGCAGAAGGGATTAATAGGTCTTCCTGCCTCACTGAAACTATTTGAACAATGCACTATTTTCTGTTATATTTATTGGGAAATGAAGAATAGAAGTGTTAAATAATTTGTGAAATGTTACCAGGCAACTGGGATGAGAGAGGTTCAATTTTTATGTCACTTCCAGTTGGGTTTTAGATGGTTCATAAACCACTGGGTTGGGAAGATTTCTGAGGTTATGTTCACAGAGAGTAAAAATAGTAGACTGAATTATCATTGTTTGGTATATTTCTGATGAAATACACAATGGTGGCACATATAGTTTTGCATTTCTTGTTCTGTACAATTTGCCACTTGAACAAACAAAAGAGGGAGGGAGAGGAGGTTAATTCCCATTAAAAAAAATTGTGAGGTGAGACAGAAAAAAAAAACCCGCATTTTATTTTCTAGTACATCTGTAAAGAAAATAATTCAGGTAGTAAAAATTAGTTGTAGCAGTTAGTGCCAACTGTGCTAAAGACTAGAGGTTTTGGAAGAAAGAATTGTATACAAATGATCACATCAGTTACTGAGGCTAAATCATTATTTTCATAGTCTGTACAAGCATAGTAGAGCTGTAAATGCATAGTAAATCTACAAATGGTTCCAGTATTTTTAAAGCATTTCTATGCATTTCTATTAAAGGCCCACCATTTTTTTCACAGATAGTTATGTATAATTAAGCCATGTTTACTTCTACAAAATCAACCAGGTTAAAAACTTCTTGCTCAAAACTGTCTACCATAATAACTTGCCTTAGTGTCTGAAATGTTAATATTCTATATTGCTTTGTTTTATTAAGGCATTATCTCCCATTAATATGAAAATCCTCCTGAAGTTTATACTTAATTTGGGTAATGTCTAGTTGTCATAAAGGGCTCTGCAACATTGTAAGGTTCTGTAGGAACAATTTTGGTATTGATGTGGAAAAGAATGTAGTGAGAGAAGATAAGAGGGCACAAGATTGCAAATATTATAGAATAAACATAGACATCTGGATCACACTTCAAATTTTAGGAGCCCCAAGAACATTAAAATGGTCAGTGGAATTAGATATTGTTCTATAGACATGTAAAATTTGTAATTTGTAATTGTTTGTAAAATTCAAAAGATTACTTAATACATAAGCGTATCTGCCTTTCTACAAAACCATCCTCTACTGACCACAAAAGGAGAATCTTTGTCCAACCACAGTGAAAAAAAAAAAAAAAAAAGAGAGAGCACCTGAGTCAAACCTAACACAAACAAATAGTATGTACATCAAAATACCAGACAGAGCATGAAGACTTGTATGTGAGTGGATTGGTCTTTTATCAGTTTCAGATTTACGAAGTAGTGAAGGAGATTCTAAAGATGTTGCTTGGAGCATTGAGTTGAGGCCCATTAGTGTTATTTGAGGAAAATAAGTAAAGTTTGGACTTCTTTTAAATTACTATTTGATGTTAAATGATGCCTCCTTTAACATCATAAATTAATTGAACCACATGGGGTCATAATTATAACCTGGGCAACACTGTCAATTGTTTTAATGTACAGTAAAGTGTAAAGTAAACCTGAGTTTAAAATAGAGACAAAAAATTTTTCTTTAAACTCATCTATTTTTACTCCCATGCCATAAAAAGAAGAGTCACATAGAGAAATACGAGGCCTTTGTTTTGGGAGTTGGGGTGTATATTTCAAATTTATTTATTTATTCATTAAAGAAATACCATTTAAATGTACAATATTTGTGTTTCCTCTAGGAAATGTAATATCTAATAACTTTCCATAACAACATCTTAACTTAAAAGAATGCAATTCAGAACTATAAGTTGATTTTTAAAGTATCATCAGGCTAATTTGGAGAATCAATAAATATGTATAATTGGGTTGGAACTTTATGAGAAATATCTGAAAATTTAGCACTTTTAAGGTGTTTTGCTATACTGTCTCCTACAATTGGTGACTAAAAAAATACCTAAGCCCTCATTTTATTGCTAAAAGTAGGAATATTAGATTAAATTAGAAGGAGCTTATATTTCAATACGGATATATAAGTTAGACAATGTAGGTGTATATCTTGAAGTTACTTTTCTGAGCTGAAATACTTACTCTCAGATTCTTCAGTTACTAAATGATCTTCTATATTCTGAATCAAAATAGTTATTAACCATAATGCTAACATAGTAAATCAATTCAATCTAATTTCTTATTTCTTGTTTGGATCCTACCATATATGGCCACTTAAAATACAACATATAGACAGCTATTTTTCAGGGAGCAGGTATGAAAAAATTATTCTCCTATTTGTATCCAAAAACTATAAAATTAATGTGATGTAAGTGTTTGGCTTCTGTACATTAAATTTCAAATAAAAAGGAACATATTTTGCACTTGCTATTAAAATGGCCCAAAGTTAAGTTCACTAAGCTCTGAATTTGCTATAATTTTAATTTTTATTACATAATGTAACTATGAAGCCTTTTTATAATGAAATTTATTATTTTAATGAACTTCACATAGGTCAATAAATTTTAGAAATCCATTTTATGTTATTGGCTTAAAGATTCTAAAACATGCTCTAGAAATGTATTTTCTAGGGAAATTTTGGCTTAATAACTCATTGTTATAAGATGCAACTTTTTACATTACTAAGCATGTTTTCTTTCCATATATAAGGGAAAATTTAGAATTTATATTGCTGAATTAAACAATTTCCTGTTGTGATGGCTTTCATTACAGTTCAAAGACATAGGCATGTATTATGTCAGTCCTTTGCTCTTACTAATGATTGATGTAAAAGATTTTTATTTAAAGCCTTTAATAATATATAAAAAGCTCATATTTTATGTTCCGTAATTGTAAATATATTTCTTCAAAAAGGCTGAAAGTCTGCAAAAGAGAAACAAAACCACCTAATCCAACCTGTTGTCTAAAAATTATTTTTTTCTTCACAGTTAGGGTTAATTAATAATAAATATAAAGGTATATTTAAAGCAGAACTTCATTTAATATCCTAAGAATATACTTACTAATTTATAAGACTGGAGTTATTTAGAATACTACTTATATTAACACATGAAGAAATCATGTGCTAAGGAGTCTATCTAAGTGAAAGCAAATCTGTCCTTTAGAATAAAATGTCAATCATTGATGTTTTGCTGAAATGAGGTGTTAAAAATTTGTGCTTTTCCTTTAGGCAAAGTCTTAGAAATAAAAAAAGAATAGTTTTTTCCCACATGTAGACATAAGGCAAGTACACAGTTCATGAACTGTGACACCATGAAAATTTCATTCACATTATATACCATGTTTCAGTTAGAAGTGATTCAATTTCTGGTAATATAGGTTTGACCTATGCTGTACTTGTTCCTTACAGCTCTGCAATTTGAAGCATATTATATACAAAATGGTAGAAAAATACTCAGTAATATCCTGCCATCTATAAATCATAAGTTTATATGTCCTTCAACTCTATAACATTTATATTGTCCAACAGTATCTCTACATAGGTCATTATTTAGCTTTTAAATAACAGTTTGTAATCCCTCTTATAAGACTTCTTTAAGGAATTGAAGACAAAATACAAATAAAGACAAGCATGAATGTCATAAATATCATTAATTGTTTCAGGCAATATTTTAACACAAATGTTGCTTATGATAAGTCCAAATGCCTCAACGTTAATTTTTAACTTCTGAACTCAAGAGAATGTATTTTTGAATGCATATTTTATGTGGTCATTGAAAAATTTCAAAAACTATAATACTTTAAAATAAATTAATCAAATATGCAAATCTTGCTTTATTTTAATACCATGGCAGAGAAATATAACAAAATTCTTTTTGATTATTGAGGTTGTTAGAATTCCCTGACAGCATATTTTAGTCATGTATTTGCTTTTGAGGGAGATAAAGCATCCCTTTAAAATTACAATGAGTAAATGAGAATTTCGGTGTAAAGTAGACGTCGTGATTCTTTATCTCATTTCACCTTGTTAGAGTTCATTAAATTATGTTGAAAGGCTGTTTTTTTTTGTTCAAATGCATACACAGACACATTATTTAAAGAGAAAAACTGTGTTTCTGATTTATAACCTTCACAACACATATCACAGTTCATTTCCTACAATACATCCTCCATAGGTGCATGGTAAACAAGTAAATGTATGAGCAAACAAAGATATATATCACTGGTCTTACTTCTGACACAGATAATCTTGATTACTGTAGCTGCAGGAGAAACTAATTCTTCAAGAGCCATTTTCTTTCATAGCACATCCAAATGAAGAATTTTTTTAGTTGGCAAATATTATTTCTCTTATAAAATGTAAAGTATGTCGTTAATCTAGCTATTTTTTATGTGTTTCAAAATCCTTTCTTATTTACAGTTGCCAATTTAAATCCATAAATTCAGATATGCAAGAAACGTTTCTTTGATTCAATTTTGTATAACTAAACTCAAAAATTTTTCCTAGACTCCTCCACTGAGTGATAATTAATGATAGCCAACACAAAGGATTTTGTCTCCTCCCTAAAGAAAACTGGAAAGAAAGATACTAGCCTCTCTGCTCTCAGGTTTAAAAAAACTTTTGGAAATTTTTAGTTCCCTACAACAAACAAATATATGAAAGAGAAGCTACAAGACACAGCATTCTATCTGACTATCTTTTTCTCAAGGACCCTGTGATGGTTAATACTGATTGTCAACTTGATTGGATTGAAAGATGTAAAGAATTGATCCCGGGTGTGTCTGTGAGGGTGTTGCCAAAGCAGATTAACATTTGAGTCAGTGGGCTGGGAAGGCAGACCCATCCTTAATCTTGGTGGGCACCATTTAATCAGCTGCCAGCACGGCTGGAATACAAAGCTGGCAGAAAAACGTGAAAAGACTAAACTGGCCTAGGCTCCCAGCCTACATCTTTCTCCCATGCTGGATATTTCCTGTTCTCAAACATTGGACTACAAGTTCTTCAGTGTTGGGACTCAGATTGTCTCCCCTTCCTCATCAGCTTGCAGATGCCCTATTGTAGGACCTTGTGATTGTGCGAGTTAATACTTAATAAACTCCCTGTCTCTCTAGCGAACCCTGACTGATACAGATTTTGGTACCAAGAATGGTTCTAGAGGAACAGAATATTAAGAATGAAATTCTTTCATTGGTTTTGTGGTTTCTGGAGTTGGCTGCTTCATATGATTGACCCCAAAATGCTAAGGACTCTACTGCTAATAGTATGGAGAACACTGATAGACTTTGGCGTGAACTGTTTAGAGAGTTATGCAAAATAAATGCATTTGACACTCCCGATTTGCCGCTTGTGAGAGACAAGGAGTTTAGTAACTCTATACATAATACCTTTGGCCATATGTGGAGAACCAAGGAACATAATGAAGTTGGTTGGTTACTCTAAGTTCAGTGGATAAAATGATAAAAGAAAATGATGAACTCTGGGATTCTAACTCATGCCTTTAGAAGCAGATACTAAGCTTCAAATCTGCTAAGATTGCCCTGATTGAGAGAGAGTCTTATCTCCTGTAGAGAAAGAGCTGAAATTGTGGGAAAACTGACACAAGCTCTTATCATGCAAATGGCTGACCTGCAATGAAAGGTGCATGCACAGCCCTGCCAGGTGTCTACTGTTAAAGTGAGAGCATTGATTGGAAAAGAATGGGACCCTGAAACGTGGAATGGGGATGTGTGGGAGGACACTGATGGAGCTGAGGACACTGAGTTTGTAAACACTGATGAACATTTTTTGCCAGAAGAAACAGCTTCCCTATCCTCAGTAGTGGCAACATTCCCTCCCTGACCCATGTTGCCATCAGGCTTTCCACCTTTGTCTGAGAAGATAAACCCTGCCTGGGGCAACAATGATGGCCTCCCCTGAGACAGTTGCCAGGCAAGATAATGTTGATTCTCCTCAGGTGCTGACCCCAACACCCCTGTTTGCTTCTATACCTATAACCAGACTAAAGTCCTGGCGGGCCTCTTGAGGTGAGGTTGAGAATGTGACCCATGAGGAAGTACATTACACTCCAAAGAACTGCTTGAGTTTTCTAATTTATACAAGCAGAAATCTAGAGAACAGGCATGAGAATGGATATTACACGTGTGGGATAATGGTGGAAGAAACATAGAGTTGCATCAGGCTGAATTTATTGATTTGAGCCCACTAAGTAGGGACTCTGCATATAATGTTGCAGCTTGGGAGTTAAAAGAGGTTCTAATAGTTTATTTGCTTGGTTACCTGAGATATGGATTAAAAGATGGCTCACTGTGAGTGAGCTGGAAATGCCTGATCTCCCTTGGTTTACTGTAAAGGAAGGGATACAAAGGCTTAGGGAGATTGGGATGGTGGAGTGGATTAGTCACTTTAAACCTACTCATCCTAGCTGGGAGTGTCCAGAAAATATACCCTGGACCAATGCCTTGTGAAATAGATTTGTGAGGGCAGCATCTCATCTTTGAAGAGCCTTGTAATTGCTCTTCCTGTATGTCAGATCTAACAGTGGGAACCACAGTCACTCAACTACAACATTTAAATACAATGAGAATAATTGGATCCCGAGGTGGCAGTGGCCAAGTGGTGCCACTCAACTGACAAAGGCAAGGTGGGCATAGCTACCATAATGGACAGCAGAAGCAAAGCAGCAATCAGAATAGTCTGAATCATGTAGAGCTCTGGCATTGGCTAATTAATCGTGGTGTTCCTAGAAGTGAAATTAATAGGAAGTCTATGCATTCCTACTTAATTTATATAAGCAGAAAAATTCTAAGTCAAATGGACAAAAAAGTGAATTTGAATTATAAATAGAAAATCATGGCCCCTCAGTCAATTTCCAGACTTGACTCTGTTTACAGAACCAGAACCCCTTGAATGAAGGAGAGGATGGTTCCCCTTGATGAAGGACCCTACTATACAGCTGACAATTTATGCTGTTAATGTTTCTCCCATCCTTCCCCAAGGAGATCTGGCCTTTTACCAGGGTAACTGTACCCTGGGGAAAGGGAAATAATCAGACATTTCGGGGACTCCTGGACACTAGCTCTGAGCTGACATTGATTCCAGGGAACCCAAAATGTCATTGTGGTCCTCCAGTCAAAGTAGGGGCTTATGGAGGTGAGGTAATTAATGGAGTTTTAGCTACAGTTTGACTTAGTGGGTCCAGTGGGTGCCTGGTCTCGTCCTGTGGTCATTTCCCCAGCGCCAGAATGCATAATTGGCATAGACATACTTGGCAGCTGGCAGAACCCCCACATTGGCTCCCTAACTGGTAATGTGAGGGCTATTATGGTGGGAAAGGCCAAATGGAAGCCATTAGAGCTGTCTCTACCGAGGAAAACAGTAAATCAAAAACAATATCATATCCCTGGAGGGATTGTGAAGATTAGTGCCACCATCAAGGAATTGAAAGACACAAGGGTGGTGATTCCTACCACATCCACAGTCAACTCTGTCATTTGGCCTGTGCAGAAGACAGATGGATCTTAGAGAATGACAGTTGATTATCATAAGCTTAACCAAGTGGTGACTCTAATTGCAGCTGCTATACCAGATGTGCTTTCATTGATTGAGCAAATTAACACATCTCCTGGTACCTGGTAGTCAGACATTGACTTGGCAAATGCCTTTTTCTCCATTCCTCTCCATAAGGTGCACCAGAAGCAATTTGCCTTCAACTGGCAAGCCCAACAATATACCTTTACTGTCTTATCTCAGGGGTATATCAACCCTTCAACTTTGTGTCAAGTAATATTATTCAGAGAGACCTTGATCACTTTTTGCTTTTGCAAGATATCACACTGGTCCATTACATTGGTAACATTATGCTGATTGGATCCATTGACTGAAAAGTAGCAAACACACTGAACTTATTGGTGAGACCTTTGCGTGCCAGAAAATGGTAAATAAATCCTAGTAAAATTCAGGGACCTTGTACCTCAGTAAAATTTCTAGGGGTCCAGTAGTGTGGGGCCTGTCAATAAATTCCTTCTAAGGTGAAGTATAAGTTGCTGTATTTGCCCCCATCCCCCTACAACCAAGAAAGAGGCACAACACCTAGTGGGCCTATTTGGATTTTGGAGGCAACACATTCCTCATTTGGGTGTGTTACTCCTGCCCATTTATCAAGTGGCCCAAAAGGCTGCCAGTTTTCAGTGGGGTCCAGAACAGGAGAAGACTCTGCAATAGGTCCAGTCTGCTGTGCAAGTTGCTTTGCCACTTGGGCCATATAATGCAGCAGATACAAGGGTAATTGAGGCGTCAGTGGCAGATAGGGATGCTGTTTGTAGCCTTTGGTAGGCCCGCATAGGTGAATCACAGTGGAGGCCTCTAGGATTTTGGAGAAAGTTCCTGCCATCTTTTGCAGAAAACTATTCTCCTTTTAAGAGACAGCTCTTGGCCTGTTACTGGGCTTTGGTGAAAACTGAACATTTGACTATGGGTCATCAAGTCACCATGTGACCTGAACTGCATATCATGAACTGGGTGCTTTTCTGACCCATCTAGCCATAAAGTGGGACATGCATAGCAGCATTCCATCATCAAATGGAAGTGGTATATACCTTATCAAGCTCGAGCAGGTCCTGAAAGCATAAGTAAGTTACATGAGGAACTGGCTCAAATGCACATGGTCTCCACTCCTGCCTTCTCTCCCCTAGCCTGCATTCATGGCCTCATGGGGAGTTCCCTATAATCAGTTGACAGAGGAAGAGAAGATTAAGACCTGGCTCACAGATGGTTCTGCACTATATGCAGGCATTATCCAAAAGTGGACAGATGCAGCACTACAGCCCCTTTCTAGGACATCCTTAAAGGACAGCAGTGAAGGGAAATCTTCCCAGTGGGCAGAATTTCAAGCAGTGCACCTGGTTGTGCACTTTGCATGAAAGGAGAAATGGGCAGATGTGCGATTGTATACTGACTCATGGGCTGTAGCTAATGGTTTTGGTGGATGGTCACGGACTTGGAAGAAGCCTGATTGGAAAATTGGTGACAAAGAAATTTGGTGAAGAGATATGTGGATGGACTTCTCTGAGTGGTCAAAAACTGTGAAGATATTTGTATCCCCTGTGAATGCTCACCAATGAGCAACCTCAGCAGACGAGAGTTTTAATAATCAAGTAACAGGATGATCCATTCTGTGGAAACCACTCAGCCTCTTTCTGCAGCCACTTCTGCCATCGCCCAATGGGCCCATGAACAAAGTAACAGTGGTGGCAGGGATGGAGGATATGCATGGGCTAGGCACCATGGACTTCCACTCCCCAAGGCTGAACTGGCTATGGCCACTGCTGAGTGCCCAATTTGCCAGCAGCAGAGACCAACACTGAGCCCTCAGTATGGCACCATTCCTCGGGGTGATCAGCCACCTGTCACCAGGTGGGTTATATTGGACCTCTTCTATCATGGAAAGAGCAGAGGTTTGTCCTCACTGGAATAGACACTTACTCTGGAAATGGATTTGCCTATCCTGCACACAATGCTTCTGCCAAGACTACCATCCACGGACTCATGGAATGCCTTATCCACCGTCATGATATTCCACATAGCATTGCCTCTGACCAAGGCACTCACTTTACAGCAAGAAGTGCAGCAGTGGGCTCAAGCTCATGGAATTCACTGATCTTACCTTGTTCCCCATCATCCTGAAGCAGCTGGATTGACAGAATAATGGAATGGTCTTTTGAAGTCACGATTACGTAGGGGACAATTCTTTGCAGGGCTGGGGCAAAGCTCTCCAGAAGGCCATGTATGCTCTGAATAAGCATCTAATATATGGTACAGTTTCTCCCATAGCCAGGATTCACAGGTCCAGGAATCGAGGGGTGGAAGCAGAAGTGGCACCAGTCACCATCACCCCTAGTGTTCCAATAGCAAAATTTTTGTTTCCTGTTCCTGTGACATTACATTCTGCTGGCCTAGCTAGAAGTCTTTGTTCCAGAGGGAGGAAAGCTGCCACCAGGAGACACAACAACCATTCCATTAAACTGGAAATTAAGATTGCCACCTGGACACTTTGGGCTTCCACATTTAAGTCAATAGGCTAAGAAGGGAGTTACAGGGTTGGCTGGGGTGATTGACCCGGACTATCAAATTGAAATCAGTCTACTACTCCATAATGGAGGTAAGGAAGAGTATGCATGGAATACAGAAGATCCATTATGGCATCTCTTAGTATTACCATGCTCTGTGATTAAGGTCAATGGGAAACTACAACAGCTCAATCCAGGCAGGACTACAAACGGCCCAGACCCTTAAGGAATGAATGTTTGGGTCATTCCACCAGAAAAAAAAAAAAAAAGAAAGGAAAGAAAAATAAATGGAGAAAGAAAAAAGAAAACATGACCTGCTGATGTGCTTGCTGAAGGCAAAGGGAATATAGAATGGATAGTAGAGGTAGGTAGTCATCAATACCAGCTACAACCACATGACCAGCTGCAGAAACAAGGACTGTAATTGTCATCAGTGTTTCCTTCTTCTTTTGTTAAAAACATTATGTGTGCATTTTTTTGTGAAAAACATTTATGTATACCCTTGTACTAAAAAAAACTTCATTTTATTTCCTTTTTCCTTTATCATGTGACATAAGACTTATTGACTTCCTATCAGCATTTAAGTATTGTTAACTTTATGTAATAGTATTTGGATTAGAGACTGTTGTATTACAGTTGTACAAAGGATAGTTGCATTATGTTAGGTGTAATTATGACCTTATTATTGTCTTTGTTTGAAGATTATGTATGATCTCAGGAGAAGTGTATGCATTCAAGTTGACAAGGGGTGGACTTGTGATGGTTAATACTGTCAGCTAGATTGAATTTAAGGATGCAGAGTATTGATTCTGGGTGTGTCTGTGAGGTTGTTGCCAAAGGAGATTTACATTTGAGTCAGTGGCCCGGGAAAGGCAGACCCACCCTTAATCTGGGTAGGCACCATCTAATCAGCTGAAATATAAAGCAGGCAGAAAAAAACATGAAAAGAGAGACTGGCCTAGCCTCTCAGCCTACATCTTTCTGCCATGCTGGATGCTTCCTACCCTTGAACAACAGATTCCAAGTTCTTCAGTTTTGGGAGTCAGACTGTTTCTCCTTGCTCCTCAGCTTGCAGACAGCCTATTGTGAGACCTCATAATCATGTGAGTTAATACTTAATAAACTCCCTTTCTAATATATATAAACTCCCCTTCTAATGTTATATATATATGTATCCATTAGTTCTGTCCCTCTAGAGAACCCTGACTAATACAGACCCACTAATAATATTCTTTGCTTCTCATCTGACATGCCCACTTCCTTAGTGCAGGAAACCTTTTCAAACCTCAGGAGACATAAGCATTGCTCTTTATCATCTCCATTGATCCAAATATTTATATTTCTATCTTAACATAAGATATTTCAGTTTCTTAGTTTAAAGTTTATAAGTATGTAACTCAAAAATCAAGTGGAATAGGAGCAACTACTTGGCTACTGTGTTTTATTTTGCTATCTCTTACTCCAGGCAATCAGCAGAAAGTGCATTATGTGCCTCTTAACAGGAATGGTGAGTCATGTGTTAAAAAAGATAAAAAATATTTATTAGTAATTCAAATACGCTATCTTATCATATTAAAACAATAACCAGTTAGTTTGGCATTCTTCATCCAATACATGAAAAGGTATTTATGCTGCTGCTTTTAAAAACTGTATATATTTGACTATTGAGGCTTAGTTAGATTGCTTAATGAATTGAATTTAGTCAGTCTTACAGTAAATAATAATATACTGAGAATGGTTTGCTCCAGTTATTTGCCAGATGGATATATAAGCAGTGTCTCCACACTCACACACACTCACATGTATGCACTAGTGAAATGGAAGTGAGAGTAAGGAGCATGGCAGGATGGACCAGAACTCCCATGAGAATGGTTAAGGGTGGTAGTTGCTGCTCCTGAGGCGAGGGTATCATCAACTCTACAACCCTTTGGTGACAAGTTCTTCTATTCTCCTGAATTGTATAACTCTCTTCATAAGGCTGTGTCCTGTTTCATTAAAGAAAGTATATACTTTTACTTGTGTCTGTTGGATATTTTTCACCAATCATGTAGTTGTTTTGTTTGAAATTACGGAGATTGATTTTAGATATGATATTAATGCAAACACCATAGACGTGAGTTGTAGTAAAACTTGGGGGAGTCTTGATAATACTGTATTTCCAAGATGTCTTCAGGCCACATTTATTTAGACCATAATTATTTGGTCTGAGTATCTGAGAACAATTATTTCAATGGAGTAGAACCACTGGCCCTTGTCTCTGAGTTTGGCTATCAAAGCAGTAACTGCTTGTATGTTATGTGAAGATTTATCGGGGTCTTCATTGACTTGAAGACAATAATATATTCCTAAAAATTCTCAAGTTCTTCTCAACTAGAATAAGTATATTTAAAACTCAAATTCCCAAACTAAAACATATAAGCTATGTGCAAATAAGCAACAAACTACAATCATATTAGTTTATAAACCACTTTAAACATTATTTTCCAATCACTAAATGGTTGATATTATTAATGAACAAATTATTTGCATGCATAACAACATCCTCTTTTCCTCTATTACCTTTCTCTATCTTTTGCATTCGCCACAAATTGCTTTAAAAATGTTTCACTGAGATAGGATTTATTGTAAAAGTAGGCAGATACAAAAACCAAATATAAAATATTTTATGTAAAGATCCTTGGAATAATCTGATAATGGAGGAGAATGGTTCAAATTAACTCTAACTCTGTTAAGTTTCTCTTAACATTAGCAGTAACCAAGACTGCTCGCCATCAGTGTTAACACCTATTATACGTTTCAAACAACTACACATTTGATTCCGATTTTTGATATTCAGCCAATTGAATTTGGAATGTAGAGAACTTTCACTTCTATTTTTTTAATGTATTTAGTTTTGAAGATGTAAAATATATTAAGTTGGTGCAAAAGTCATTGCAGTTTTTGCCACTACTTTCAATGGCAAAAATCGCAATTACTTTTTTGCACCAAGCTAATAAACTATCCCTTTATAAATACTGGACCCCCACACCACAATGTACAAAAGATATGTACAAGAGGTCTAAAATATAATATGAAATGAGCACTTGGTCAGATGCGGTGGCTCATCCAGCACTTTAGGAGGCCTAGGTGAGCAGATCACTTGAGGTTAGGAGTTTGAGACCAGCCTGCCCAACATGGTGAAACCCCATCTCTACTAAAAATAGAAAAATTAGCCAGGTGTGATGGTGGGTGCCTGTAATTCCAGCTACTTGGGAGGTTGAGGCAGAAGAATCAATTAAACCCGGGAGGCTGAAGTTGCAGTGAGACAAGATCGCACCACTGCACTCCAACCTGGGTGACAAAGCGAGACTCCATTTCGAATAAATAAATAAATAAATAAATAAATAAATAGAATAAATAAATAGATAAATAGAATAAATAAATAAATAGAGAATTGAGCACTAAAATAAAAAACGATAGTCAGCTGGTTCATATAAGAAGGAGTGACTTAAAAATCACTATATATTTCTATCATCTAGAGCTATAGTGGTATGGAAAACTGATACATGATCTGAAGTAATTCAGCACTCAATTAACAAAATGAAACAATTTGATGATAGTAGTGGAGAAAGTATGGAAAATTGCCACTCATCCATACAATTGAGGAGACAGTCCACGAATTGAATCAGAGTATGGGATACAATTGTCAATATCTATCTAAGTTAAGAATATGACATTCTTTATGACCTACTGTTAGAAAAGAATGTGCATTTATGAACTGAGCATGTAAATGGTAGCACTGTTAATACTTTCAAAACACTGATAATAATCTAAAGGCAAAATATCAAGTGACTTTAGTAAATAATAGAGCATTATTAAACATAATGTCAGTAACCATTAAAATATGCCAACTATATGTTTTGTTAGGAAATAATCTCCAAGATAAAATCAAGACTGTAAATTTAAAAGATGAGATTTAGAATACTATGTATACTATATTAGCATTTGTATACAAACTATGTTATCATTTGAATAAAAATGTATTATGTCTACGCATATCTTAGGATATAAATGGGTCATCTATGGAAATTGGTAAACAAATTATACCCAAATCTAATATCAGTGGAAAGGGCATTTCTAGTGGCTGAGATGTGGTGGGAAGGTGATTTACATTTCACTGCATGTGCATATATTTCCTCTTTAAAACTAAGTTTGAAAATATTTTAAAACACATTCTCAACACTTTCAACATAATCATGTCCAAGATTATTATTGCACAGTGTAAATAATGAAGCTGGTGTTTGCATTAAATCAATATTTATGACATTCAGAAGTTGGAATGGAAGAATACTATTGGTAAGCTTTTCAGCATGTGGCGAAATAACATTAAAATTGACTTATTCAGTAAGTATACATAAAAAGTTATATCACTCTCAGCATGTGTTAATTCAGCTAAATAAATCATGCTTGTTCAGAGTGGGCAACTGTAGACTCTGTTTGTATAGCAAGGCCTTTATCTGAACTACTGTGTACTCACAAGATTTTAAGAAAAATGGAACATAAAATTCCATGATCCTATGAGTCACTGAATTTGCCCAATCTGACTGAATAACAAAGGAAGAGAACTACCCTCCTCCTGAGTATAAATGATTGAATTGATTGAATGAATGAAAGTGCTTTTGTGTGTGTGTGTAAACCTCAGATATTTTAATACAATTATATAATTTTACAGGGCTTAATGCAGCTATCTTGTCAATTGCAACTAAATGCATATGCAAACTTCTAAATAAAAGAGAGAGTATGTAAAGAGTTCAAATGTCATTGTTTACTCAGTAAGTAAAAAGTCCGAGTCTCCTCCCAGAGTGGTGCATACACAGTCAAAGGGTATTTGGATTGATTACTTGGGGAGCTCTATTAATTTTCTTATTCTGGCTCATTTTTACATTTATAACAGGAAAACATCCCTCCATGATTAAGAACCTGGAACTGTGCCTGTCAGTTACGAATCCTATAGTGTCAAGAACTTTATACTTCTGGTCTCAGGTAGATAGGATTTATTCCTGTGGAAAAGGCAGTAACTACTTAGTTAGCGAAGATTTTCCCCTCATAAATTCTTCATAACATCATTCATTGCCATAAAATTCATAAAGGCAGTAGGGGTGCATTCTGATTTATCATCTGATTCAGCACAAAACATTGAGCACCGGAATTTAAACACACAGCACATGGTAGCATGCCTAATTTCAAAGAAACCAGTATAATAATTCAAATCCTCTTTAATTTTTTTTAAAATCTGAAATACCTAAAGTCACATAATTTGAATCAGTAGGCAAACTGCCATCAGAAATGAAATAATAGGCCCTGTGCTGTTTCACTGCAAATATTTATTCCTGGTTTATTTCTTTTTTTAATTATTATTATACTTTAAGTTCTAGGGTACATGTGCACAACGTGCATGTTTGTTGCATATGTATACATGTGCCATGTTGGTGTGCCGTACCCATTAACTCATCATTTACATTGGGTGTATCTCCTAATGCTTTCCCTCCCCCATTCCCCCACCACACAACAGGCCCCAGTGTGTGATGTTCCCCTTCCTGTGTCCAAGTGTTCTCATTGTTCAATTCCCACCTATGAGTGAGAACATGTGGTGTTTGGCTTTCTGTTCTTGTGTTAGTTTGCTGAGAATGATGGTTTCCAGCTTCATCCATGTCCCTACAAAGGACAAGAACTCATCCTTTTTTATGGCTGCATAGTATTCCATGGTGTATATGTGCCACATTTTCTTAATCCAGTCGATCATTGATGGACATTTGGGTTGGTTCCAAGTCTTTGCTATTGTGAATAGTGCCACAATAAACATATGTGTGCATGTGCCTTTATAGCAGCATGATTTATAATCCTTTGGGTATATACCCAGTAATGGGATGGCTGGGTCAAATGGTATTACTAGTTCTAGATCCTTGAGGAATCTCCACACTGTCTTCCACAATGGTTGAACTAGTTTACAGTCCCACCAACAGTGTAAAAGTGTTCCTATTTCTCCACATCCTCTCCAGCACCTGCTGTTTCCTGACTTTTTAATGATCGCCATTCTAACTGGTGTGAGATGGTATCTCATTGTGGTTTTGATTTGCATTTCTCTGATGGCCAGTGATGATGAACAGTTTTTCACGTGTCTGTTGGCTGCATAAATGTCTTCTTGTTTTATTTCTAAAACTTAAAATGTGAGATTTATTATTAATTTTGTGGCTATTTCCTATAGCACTATTTAGATGCCACACACACAGAAATCTTACTGCTCTTTTATCATAGTGACTGTAGACTCAATGAAGACTTGGGTCTCTGTGTTGACCTAGCACAGGCTACATTAACTGCTGTTGGAGAAAAGTGCTCAAGATAACTTTGAATCTTCTAACTGTATATATCATTATGTACAAAGTTTTCTTGGATTGAGAGTATTCAATTATAAAAGTAAAAAGGTGTGAACTTTCAGAAATTCTGAGAACAATGTGTTGGGGAGAAAATACCTAGAAGTAAAGAGAAATGGATGATATTGAGTATCAATTCTTATATCTTCATTAGTTTATACAGTTAAAAATCATTTAACTATTTGGAGACCAAGATACACAATGTAAAACCTGACTTTTTCTTAAGCTTTAATGATTTACAGATTAGTGCAGTGGTGTCTAAGAAGTATGTAGTGGTGCCTAGATGATGACCAAGTTAATCATTGGGATGATGAGAGAGATCACTGTAATTTCTGTTCCAATTTTAACTCACCCTTTTAAATCAATATTTGCATGTTTTACAGTGTGCATAACGTTAGAATTGTAGAGTATGTACAATCTCTTTAGTCTTATTTTTTTTAATTGAAAGGAGTAGATATTTAAAAAGTACATGGAAACTGCTGAATTGAGTAATTAGATGATATAATTTTAAAGAAGAAAAGCAAACAAATATAAAACTTAGATTGGGATTTGTAGTTTTTGATTAGAAGGGAAAAACAAAGTAGGTGAAATAATAGTAACAGAAATATTCTCAAAACATAAGTATTCTCACCTCATTTCTTTTTGTAGGTTTTTGCATCCTTATGTGAGAATAGTGAATAGAATATCTTCTGTCTGTATCACCTTCTGGATTATTATTTTTTTTGCTTATGTGTGGTATTAGCCAGCCAGGGCTGCCATAACAAAATATTGCAGACTTTCATACACTGGGTGGCTTAAACATCAAAAATTAATTTCACACAGCTCCAGAGGGCAAAAATTCCAGTACAGCTTGCTAGCTCATTCAGTTCCTGATGAAGATCTACTGTCTAGATTGCAAGCAGCCACCCTCTCACTGTGACCTTACATGACATCTTTCTAGGTGAGGGCACACAGTGACAGAGAGATGACAGAGAGAGAGAGAGAGAGAGAGTGAAAGAGAGAGAGAGAATAAGCTTTCTGGTGTCTCTTCTTAAAAGGATGTTAATCCTATCTAATTATCTGACCAGGACTTCACCCTATGACTTCATTTAACATTATTTACCTCCTGAAGACCCTGTCCCCAAATGCAGTGACATTAGGAGTTAGGATTTTAACATATGAATTTGAGGGAACACAATTTATTCTATAGCATGTTCCAGGAGAGAGGATTAAAAAGTGGTTGCTGAATTTTTTTTACCTGATTAAATTTAAGCAACCTTCAAATATAGCAGTGAAAACTTTCGTGTATATATTTTGTTACTTATGAAAAATAGGTTAAAATGCATAGGTTTTTAATTATACACCATATATATATGTGTGTGTAGTATCTAGTATCTATATAACATAATCAGTTTTTTCTCTTATTACTTTCATTCATATTGGTTCAGTTTTCACCTGACCTCTTAGGAGACCCAGACAATTATATCCCAGTATATTGCCTTAATACACCACTCCATATTAAACTAGAGTGATATTTCCTGTTTGTTATGCAATCCTATGATCCATCCCTAACTAACTAGGAGTATTCGCCCTGTTCTTCTCTTAACCAAGGTGCCAATAATCCATTTATCCAAATAATGAAGCATAATATTCCAACCATTAAGTCAATATCTATTTTGAATTCTAGCAGCATACCTTCTTACACTTATACGGATTGAGAGACAGCCCACAGAACACCCCTTCACCATTATTGGCCAAGCGTCATCCCTCTTGTACTTATTTCTCATTCTCATTTTAACTCTATTCACCAGCCTAATTGAGAACAAAACACTCAAATAAAGAGGTCCTTGTAGAATATATTATTACTTTGGTCTTTAAATCAAGAATGGAGAGTATGTCTTCCTAGGGCAACTTGAGGAAGAGGCATTATGCTCCACCATCAGCGCACAAAATCAAAATTCTACATAAATTACTCCCTAATATTCTTTTAGCTTTTCCTTTAAAATTAAGGTAAATTTTAAAATAATGTAAATCAGCACAATATTTTAATATAAAAAATGTACTTCTGTCTCTATAGAAGCCAAGACTAAGTCTGTAACTTCCAGTTTTGTACCTTCAATAGTGATCACTCAATTTCCTATGATTCGAGAACCTCTTGGAAGTAGAGGGAGCAGTGGCTTAAATGATGCCTTGAGCTCAAAGAAGACTTGGTTTTCCTCTCTCATTAGCACAGCAACCCTCACACTCACCATCTGCCAAAATAAAAATGACAAACAGCAGCCCAAGGGGAAAGAGTCACAGCATTTTTTTTCCAGTGCTCTACACTTGTGATTTTTAACATTGCTGAAATGTACATTTTGATATTGACATTGATGATATTACCTCCAACTTCTACTGCCACTGTCACAAGAAAGGTAAGTAATATTTTGTGCTGTAAATAAAACACACACACACACACACACACACACACACACAATTGTCAGCAATAGTCTGCTTTTTGAATCCAAGAAAAGGACTTAAAAGAAAATTCTTTTCTGAAGGTGAGAAAATAAGTACAGCAATCAGAAAGGGATTTTTTAAAATGCTCATTTTGCAACAGTTCCAGTGAAATTCCTTCTGTGGAATATAACTGACCTGTGACTAAGTTCCAGAATATTTATAAAAATGTCAACTGCTATATCTTTCTATTAAACCCTATTGAAGTGACTCACAGATTTAGAAAAAATAGAATGATTACTATTATTGTAAATGGAGCTGATCTTGTATAATTTTGAACTTTCTGTACTCCAGGCATTAAAAATATCTGATACATTGGATTCTATTATAACTTTAGCCCATCTATTTTATTCTTACATAATAATACCTTGACATATTTAGAGATTTGTTTATGAAAGAAAGCACTAAAATATAACCATCCAAAGCAAAATAAAACCCTATTGGGCCAAAGGAATACCTTTTTTTAATTTATTTATTTATTTATTATTTTTTACTTCTATTGGTTTGAAAGTGATCCAAATAATTTTTATTCTTCTGGTGGTTGCTCTTACATGTGTCATGTTGGTTTGCTGCACCCATCAATTCATCATTTACATTAGGTATTTCTCCTAATGTTATCTCTCCCCTGGCCCCCGATCCCCTGACAGGCACCAGTGTGTGATGTTCCCCTCCCTGTGTCCATGTTTTCTCATTATTCAACTCCCAATTATGAGTGAGAACATGCAGTGTTTGGTTTTCTCTTCCTATGTTACTTTGCTGAGAATGATGGTTTCCAGTTTCATCCATGTTCCTGCAAAGGACATGAACTCATCCTTATTATGGCTGCATAGTATTCCATGGTGTATATGTGCCACATCTTCTTTATCCAGTCTATCATTGATGGGCATTTGGGTTGGTACCAAGACTCTGCTATTGTGAACAGTGCTGCAATAAACATATGTGTGCACGTGTCTTTATAGTAGAATGATTTATAATCCTTTGGGGAGCTTGGCTGGGGGAAGGAATATCTTTATAATTACATAATTATACTTATTATAAAGCAATTCTCTGCAGAATTTTTAAAGTTATACTTCTACCTTGGGGCAAATTGTTATAATACATTTCATAGAACTAAAATGGTTAAATTATAATCAGAATATAATACATCATGTCTTTCTTCCCTTATATTATCAAACGTGCAAAATGACAATGCTAGTATATGCCATATAACTCAAAATATATTCCTTTTGTAAAATTTAGAAATTATTACAGGAATATGGTGTTTCCCAATTTAAATATCACCTTTCATTTGTAAATAAGAACAATTTGCATGATTAATTGTAAGTAAGGGACATTTACAGTATGTTTTTATTTTATTTTGGGTAAATAAGTGGTAACAAATAATAATGGTGTCTTTTCAAATATTTTTTCTCCTTTGGTAATTTGAGGTTAAACGTGAAAAGTCCCTAAAGCAGAGCAGAAAACCCTGCCCTATTTCTTAAATATGCGCTAAAGACCAAGATAAATCTGAGTAGAGAGTGATTTCTGTGTGTTTGTTTTGGTAATTGATAACAGATAGCATATCTGAGCCTTACCTTTGATCAGGTATTATGCTTGGAAACATACATAAATTTCTGGTTTAATTCTCACAACAACGAAGAAAATAAGGGTTATGATCAACCTGAGATTTGCAAATTAAGGGCTTTTCTGGTAGTCAGGTAAATTAGTTCTTTCCACTGTGTTTCTTTGGTTACAGGTTAGAGAAGTAACACTAAGCCCACCTAATCATACAGGAAAAAATATTTATTAAGGCTCAGAGCCTTCTTAATAAATCCAGAGCCCATCCAGACTCAACCAGGCATTAAAAAGTGTTTACGACTTGCTGTTAGATGGTTTCGTGTGTCCCAAATTGATTAATACTCTCTATCTGAAAAAAAATCTGCCTTAGCTTTTATATTTTCATAATGTAATTTTGTAAAATTTTGCATATTAGTTTCAGCAACCTGAAGTTAATTATTCTTTCTGTCTCAACCTAGATAAAATGTGCATTCTTAAGCTAATCAACTTAGAAGAAAATCACATGAATTCATTCACTGTTATACCCAGGGAGAATGATAAATTAATAAGGCTATCCAAAAAGGGGCTACTATATGAGCAGAACTAGCACAATACTTAGAGTCAGTGTTAATTGTCTCAAAATATATGGTTTGAAGATGACTCAGATTTCTTAAGAAAGCCTTTCATATTCTCTTGTACTTTGCTGCCTAACTTTTTCCCAGACAGCACTAACTAGTAACTGTATTCTATATTTGTCAATAGCAAGTTAGATTGTACAAATAACTGGGTTTCAGAAATATTACTGTGGCAGGGGAAACCATATAATACAAGAGGTTTGAAATTTAGGTTTTAAGTTACTTTAATTAATAGAGGTTCAATTATTCTTTATTTTCTCAGGAACAGAGAGGTCGATAATTTCT
Organism: Homo sapiens; assembly: GCF_000001405.40. NCBI lineage: Eukaryota > Metazoa > Chordata > Mammalia > Primates > Hominidae > Homo > Homo sapiens. Next base: position 85,234,560 of record NC_000005.10, on the reverse strand, counting down.
GGGATCATTTTTATCATTTGCAATTTTGCATAATCAAGAAACATGAAATTTTAAATTTTAAAATAAGACATACAAAGGTTAAGATGTAATTACAAACAAAATCCAAAGACTTCACCCAATGTGCCTACGCTGTGCTTTACCTGAGCACAATAAGAAATGGAGGAGTGCAAGATACTTGAATTTTAATTTCTAATGTGAAGCAAAGGGAGGGAAATTATTTTGGTGTTTTTTGTCATGGTAGAGGTAAATCATTTACACAGAAAATTGTTTTATACTGGTACTTCTTATGGTGGAATAGAAAGTCTGAAACCCTTTTATTTCAATAACTCATTTTAAACACAGTCTCCTGAGGTGCTATATGAAATAATGTATCATGGTGCTTGATAGCATGTGTTCTCAAGAGAGATGCTAGAGTAAAATACTATCTCTTACACTTGACATCTCTATGATATCGGTCAAATTACCTACTGTTTCTAAGTCTCAGGTCTTAATCTGTCAGTTTGACTTAATAATGTAACTATTTCTAAGGACTCCACAATATTATGCAAAAGAATACATCAATGTACCTGGCACACAGTAAATCTCAATTGATATTATATGCTATCATTACAGTTTAGCAATGGGTTTTCCCAAGTAAAACATAATTGCATTTTAATCTATCCAGTGTTCATTATTTAAATAAGAAATTTTAGTAAGTCACTCAAACATTCACATATTTACATATTAAAAAGTAGATGATCTTTACCTGGTTTATTTCATATAACCTAGCCTCCTCCAGTTTTACTTATGTTGTTGCAAAAAGCAGTATTTTTATTAATTTTAAGGCTAAATAATATACCATTGTATACATAATATGCCACATTTTTGTTATTTATTTATCTGTCCACAGACATTTGGATTGCTTCAAATCTAGGATATTGTGAATAGTGCTGAAGTGAATTTGGAAGGAAGATATTTCTTCAAAATAGTGATTTTATTTTCTTAGAATGTATATCCAGAAGTGAGATTGCTGGATCATATGGATATTAGGAGTTTTTTTGAGGAACTTCCATACTGTTTTCCATAATGGCCATACCAAGTTACATTCAAGTCAACATGTATAAAGTTTCTCTTTTCTTCATGCATGTCCTCTCCAACACCTGTTATCTTTTGCTTTTAAAAATAGCCTTCCCAACAAGTGTGATGCGGCATACCATTATGGTTGTGATTTTCATTTCTTTGATAACCAATGATATTGAAGACATTTCCTATAACTGTTGGCCATTTGTATGTCTTTTTGGATTAATGTCATGATCTCAATTATACAAAGGGTAACCAAAAACTTCATGGAAAATGTGTATTATGACAAAACTATGCATCAATTTCAAAACCAAATTTTGCACCAAAATAAACTCATATTAGCTTGTTAATATTTCTGAATAGGTCTAATTTAAGGCATTAAGAAGAATTAAATATCCATTTGCAAAGAGGCTATTGGAACAACATAAATTTTGCTAAAATTCAGCTTGAACAAACATCAAATATATGGTGAAGTTTGAGTTTTAAAATGGTGAACTGATTAATGTTTTATGAAGGATTTATGGAGACAATTCCCCAAGTAAATCAGCAGTTTACTAATGAATAATTCATTTTAAGAAGGGATGAGATGAAGTTGAAGATGAAGCCTGCAGTGGCAGACCATTCACCTCACTTTGAGAGAAAAAAAAAAATCTTTTTTGTGCCCTAATTAAAGAGAACCAACAATGACCATCAGAAACAATAACGAACACGATAGACATCTCAATTGATTCAGATTACACAAGCTGACTGAAAAATTTGAGTTGAGCAAAACTGTCCAATCAATGGGTGCTAAAGAAATTGCACCCAGGTAAGCTGAAGACAAAAGCAGAGCTTACAATGAAAATTTTAAGCAAGTGGGATCAAAACTTGAAGGATTTTTTTGAAGAATTGTAACAGGTGATAAAACATGGCCTTGCCACTATAATCCTGAAGACAAAGCACAATCAAAGCAATGGCTACCAAGAGGTAAAAGTGGTCCAGTCAAACAAAAGCAGACTACTCAGGAGTAAAAGTCATCACAACATTTTTTGGCAATGCTCAAAACATTTTGCTGGTTGACTTTTTGGAATGGCATATAACAATATCATCTGCTTATTATATGAGTGTTTTGAGAAAATTAGCCAAAATTTTAGCAGAGAAAAGCTGTACCAGATAGTCCTTCTCCACCACAATAGGAATGCTCCTATTCATTCCTCTCATCAAACAAGAGCAATTTTGTAAGCGTTTCAATGGGAAATCATTATACTTCTGGCTTACACTCCTCGGTGGTCTCTATTTGACTTTTTCATTGCCTAATCTTAACAACTATTTAAAGAGCACTTATTTATCTTCGTTAACAATGTAAAATGATTGCGTTAACACAGTTAAATTCTCAGGACTCTCAGTCCTTTAAGCATGAACTAAATGGTAGTAATAATCACTTACAAAAGTGTCATAAATTTAATGGAGCTTAGATTGAGAAATAAAGCTTACATTATCATTTTTATCTATTAATTCTACTTTCCACGAAGTTTCTGAAGGCTCCTCATAGGTGAAATCTAAAAATGTCAAAATCATATAAACAGAGAGTACAAGGGTAATAACTGGGGGTTAAAGGCCAGGGAGATGGGTAGGTAGGAGATGTTGGTGAAAGGGTAAACATTTGTAGTTACAATGTGCCTAAGTTCTAGAGATTTAAGTTAAAGCATAGTTACTAAAGTTAAAATAATGTATTGTATGCTTGAAATTTTATAGGAGAGTGGCTCTTAAGTAATCTAAGCACACACACACAAAAGGTAACTGGAGTGATATCAGCAAGATAGTAAACATTGATATCAGCAAGATAGTAAAAATATTCCCCGGCATCATCACACCTACCCCCACAATGAAAGTACCACTAACAACTAATCAAAGACAAGAATATTACTATATATTTACCAGAACTTCAGGGAGAAGAAACCACCCCCTGGACCTAAAGAAATAAGAAAATCTGTTACCACTAAAAGATAACTGTTTTAGATTATGCTAGCCCCTTTCCCAAGGAGGTGCAATGCTGCTCACGGATAATTTTTCTCGACCCACTTTTTCCAAAGTGGAATTTGAAGGTGTATTTTAATCCCTTCAGTAGTTTGGGATTTCTGTGGGAAGCCCACTTTGGTCCTATTCCACAAGAAGCACTGGGAGTCCCACGGGGGCTGAAACACATGGGGTATATTGGAGACAAAGAGTAGGAGCACTGAATGCAGTAACTGACACACAAATTGTGGTAGTTTATCTGGGTTCTGATCAGCAGAGACACCATGATGAAGAGACTGAACAGATTTCCGACACCACAGCAACACCAGGTGCTGGTATGGAGCCTTACCCTGACCTAGAAATAACTAAAAGTTTAGTGGTTAATTTCCGATGTCACTTAAGTTTGCCTCAAACCCAGAAATCATTGTATATCTGTGATTAAATTTCAGTGGAGTCTTCAATTCTGGTTCTCTCAGTAAGTCTTCACAAAGCCGGGAAACAAAGGTGGGACAACAATTTAGTTTCAAAGTACTATGTAAGTTCCAATGCTAATAATAAATCTTCCCCACAATTGGAAATAATTGCAGGTCAGTGATTGAGTTCCAGTATTAAATAATAAATATATAACGCCCCCAAAGAACACCTGCAAAAGCTGGAAGTGGTGGCCCTCTCCGCAAATGCATGGGCATCAGCATAAAGATACAAGAATTGTTAAAAAAAAAAAAAAAAAGGAAATAAAGAAAGCAAGGAAAATAGCGTCACCAAAAGAAACCTGTAAATCTCCAATAATGGACCCATAGTAAGGTTTTTCTTTTTCTGGTAGCACCTCAAAAGAACAGGCAAGACAAGAAAAAAATAGGCAAATATGACTACATCAAACTAAAATGCTTCTTCACAGCAAATGAAACAACTAATTGAGCAACAACACAACCTCCAGAATGGGTAACAGTATTTGCAAACTATGCATCCAACATGGGGTTAACATGCAAACTATATAAGTAACCAGAACAACTCAGTAGGCAAACAGACAAAAAAACTCAAATTGTTCAATTAAAAATGAGCAAAGATCTGAATAGGTCTCAAAAGAAGTGTTCTTAAAAGAAGACATATAAAGGGCCAGCAGTTATTTGACAAAAGCATATTACTAGACATCAGAAAAATACAAATAAAAAGAAACAAGAGATATTACCTAGCCCCAGTTAAAATGGCTTTCATCAAGAGACAAAAACAACAACAAAAACGACAAAAACAAATGCTGGTGAGGATTAAAAGAAGAGGATACTTTTTATACACTGTTGGTGGAAATTTAAATTAGTATAGCTGTTATGGAAGGCAGTATGGGGTTTCCTCAACAAATTAAAAATAAAACTATCACATAATCCAGTAATTCCACTATTGGGTACATATTCACAGGAAATGAAATCAGTATGTTGAAGAGAGAGCTGAACTTCCATATTTATTGCAGCACTATTCACAATGGCCAAGTGATGAAATCAACCTAAATGTTCATCAATGAACAAACGGAGCTAACAGAAGACAAGAAATAACCAAGATCAGAGCTGAATGGAAGGAGATAAAGAGATGAAAAACCCTTCAAAAAATCAATGACTCAAGGAACTGCTTTTTGAAAAAATTAATAAAATAGACTGCTAGCTGGATTAATAAAGAAAAAAGAGAGAAGAATCAAATAATCACAATCAGAAATGATAAAAGGAATAGGGGAATATAACAATGGACCCCACAGAAATACAAACAACCATCAGAGAATACTATAAAAACCTATATGCACATAAACTAGAAAGTCTATAAGAAATGGATAAATTCCTGGACACATCCACCCTCCCAAGACTGAACCAGGAAGAAATTGAATCTCTGAGTAGACCAACAATGAGTTCTGAAACTGAGGCAGTAATAAATAGGCTACCAACTGAAAAAAGCCAAGAAACAGATGGATTCATAGCTGAATTCTACAAAAGGTACAACAAAGAGTTGGTATCATTTTTATTGAAACAATTCCAAAAAATAGAAAAGGAGGGACTCCTCCCTAACTCATTCTATGAGGCCATCATCATCCTGATACCAAAACCTGGCAGGGATACAACAAAAAAAAGAAAAAGAAATCTTCAGACCAATATCACTGATGAACACTGATGCAAAAATCCTCAATAAAATACTGGCAAACTGAATCCAGCAGTACATCAAGAAGGTTATCCACCACAATTAAGTTGGCTTCATCCCTGGGACATAAGTTTGATTCAGCATATGCAAATCAAATGTGATTCATCACATAAACAAAACTAAACACAAAAACCACATGATTATCTAAATAGATGCTGAAAAGGCCTTTGATAAAACTGATCATCCCTTTATGATTAAAACTCTCATTAACTAGGTATTGAAGGAATACACCTAAAAATAATAATAGGCATATATGACAAACCCACAGTCAATATCATACTGAATGGGTAAAATCTGGAAGTATTCCCCTCAAAAAATGGTGCAAGACAAAGATACCCTCTCTCACCACTCCTATTCAACATAGTATTGAAAGTTCTGGCCATGGCAATCAGGCAAGAGGTAAAAATAAAGGATATTCAAATAGGAAGAGAGGAAGTCAAACTCTCCCTCTTTGCAGATGACATGATCCTATATTTAGAAAACCCCATCATCTCAGCCTCAAAACTTTGTAAGCTGATAAGCAACTTCAGCAAAGTCTAAGGATATAAAATCAATGTGCAAAAATCACTAGCATTTCTATACACCAACAACATACAAGGAGAGAGGCAAATCATGAGTGAACTCCCATTCACAATTGCTACCAAAAGTATAAAGTACCCAAGAATACAGCTAACAAGGGAAGTGAAGGACTTCTTCAAGAAGAACTACAAACCACTGCTGAAAGAAATCAGAGAAGACACAAACAAATGGAGAAACATTCCTTGCTCATGGATAGGAAGAATCAATATTGTGAAAATGGTCATACTGCCCAAAGTAATTTATATATTAAATACTATTCCCATTAGACTACCACTCACATTCTTCACAGAATTAGAAAAAAACTATTTTAAAATTCACAGGGAACTTTAAAAAGACTCCAAATAGCGAAAACAATCCTAAGCAAAAAAAAAAAAAAAAAAAAAATGCTGGAGGCATCACACTATCTGACTTCAAACTACACTACAAGGATACAGTAACCAAAACAGCATGGTACTGGCACAAAAACAGACACATAGACCAATGGAACAGAACAGAAAACTCAGAAACAAGGCTGTACACTAACAACCATCTGATCTTCAACAAACTTGGTAAAAACAAGCAATGGAGAAATGATTCCCTATTTAATAAAGGGTGCTGGAAGTGCTGCCTAATCATATGCAGAAAATGGAAACTGGACCCCTTTTTTACATCATATACAAAAACTATCTGAAGATGGGTTAAATACTTAAATGTAAAACACAAAACTATAAAAAACCCTCAAATAAAATCTAGGCAATACCATTCAGGACATAGGCATGGGCCAAGATTTCATGACAAAAACACTAAAAGCAAGTGCAACAAAAGCCAAAATTGACAAATGGGTCTAATTAAACTAAATAGATTCTGCACAGAAAAACAAACAATCATCATAGTGAACAGACAGCCTACAGAATGGAAGAAATGTTTTCAGGGAAAAATTTTTCAATCTATTCATCTGACAAAGGACTCATATCCAGAATCTATAAGGAACTTAAACAAATTTACAAGAAAAAAACAAACAACCCCATTAAAAGTGGGCAAAGGACATAAATAGACACTTCTCAAAAGAAAACATTCATGTGGTGAACAAACATATGAAAATAAAGATCAACATCAGTGATCATTAAAGAAATGCAAATCAAAAGCACAATGAGGACACCATCTCACGTCAGTCAGAATTATGAGTATTAAAAAGTCAAGAAATAACAGATGCTGGTGAGGTTGCAAAAAAAAAAAAAAAAAAAGGAACACTTTTGCACTGTTGGTGAGAGGTAGATTAGTTCAACCATTGTGGAAAACAGTGTAGCGATTCCTCAAAGACCTAGCAACAGAAGTACTGTTTGACCCAGCTATCCCATCATTGGTTATATACCCAAAGGAATATAAATCATTCTCTTATAAAGATACATACACACATATGTTCATCGCAGCACTTACTATTCACAACAGCAAAGACATGGAAACAACTCAAATGCCCATCAGTGATAGACTGGATTAAAAAAAGAATGTGGCACATATACACCACGGAATAAAAAGGAATGAGGTCAACCACAAAAAGGAATGAGGTCATGTCCTTTGTAGGGACATGGATGGAGTTGGAAGCCATTGTTTTCAGGAAACTAATACAGGAACATAAAACCAAACACATCACGTTCTCACCTATAAGTGGGAGCTGAATGATAAGTAAGTATGGGGAGGGGAACAACGCACACTGGGGCCTGGGGTCTGGGGCCTGTAGGAAGGGATTGGAAAATGGAGATAATCAGGAAGAATAGCTAATGGTTGCTGGCCTTAATACCTAGGTGATGGGATGATCTGTGTAGCAAACCACCATGGCACACATTTACCTATGTAATAAACCTGCACATCCTGTACATGTACTCCTGAACTTAAAAGTCGAAGAAAAAGAAAGAAAATATAGTAGGGTCAGAGATGGTGCATTATGGCCAAATAGAACCCTCCGGTGATGAGCTTGAACAACTAGAACAACTAGCCATGCAAGAAGCATCTTCATAAAAACACAAAAAATCAAATGAATGATCCTACTACTTGGTTTTAATATAATAACAATAAAAGAGACATTGAAGAAGACAGAAAAAGAACAGAACTCTTGGACTTTTTACACCACCACCCCTCAGCCCCAGGAAGAGCAGAGCAGAGAGAATATCTGTGCTTGTGAAAGGGAGAGTGAAGTGAATGTGGGATTCGGTGCCATCCCAATATAATGGAAAACAACACTGGGCAGAATGTTTTGGTACTCAAGGAAGAAGTATTTCAACTAGCCCTGGAGCAGAGGGGAATCCCCAGGTTGGCTTCAGTACAGGCTGATTAAAGTGGAACCCTGAATACATTTGAGTTGTAATCAGGTCATCATGATGGCAGTCTTTGGGCAAGACCTAGTGATGTGCTGGTCTCACGGGCAGTGGGATTGTGATGGAGCCCAGTACAACACCAGCTGCAGTGGCCACATACATGCCTTTGTGGCTCTTCCTCCAACTCTAGGCAGTGCCGCATCAGGAGAGACTCTTTAACCTTGGGGAAAACAGAGGGAAGGAGAATGGTGAACTTTTTCTTGCAACTTGGATACTAGCTCAGCCACAATAAAAGACAACATCAAGAAAAAATACTGAAGCCCTGATTTCAGACTTTTGCTCTTAGATAGCATTTCCAGACCCACCCCTAGCCAGAAGGAAATCCTCTGTCCTGGTGGAACAGACTCAGTCCAGCAGGATTCACCACCTGCTGACTAAAGTGGCCTTAGACCTTGAATAAACATCAGCAACAGCCAGACAGTAAAGGCCACAATCCTTGGGCAAGCCCCAGAAACGAGCTGGTCTGGGAGGCCATAGGCTTTACATGCAATCCCAATATGGTGCCAGATGCAGTGGCCACAGGAGTGCCCTTTTCACTCCTCCCTCAACTCAAAGCACCACAATGCTGAAAGAGACTCCTTCAGCTTGAGGGAAAGAGAGTGAGATACTTTGCCTGAATACTCAGGAAATTCTCCCTTATCTTTCCTAAGTCCCCCAACACTGTGTATCTAAGAGTTTCAAGAGTTGCAGTGTTCCTGGACTTAGGGTGTCCACTAGTGCCGAAGCAGCTGCAGTGACCATAGGCTTAGCCAACAAAACTCAATTTCTTTTGGATTTTTGAAAAGCCATTTTTATTTATTTATTTATTTATTTATTTATTTATTTATTTATTATACTTTAAGTTCTATGTGAAAAGCCCTTTCAAGAAGGATGTACAAACAAGTCCATACTGGGAAGATTGGAATAATTGCTTCTCTCTTCAATGCCCAGACATCAGTGAACATAAGCAAGATCAAGAACATCCAGGAAATCATGACCTTTCCAAATAGATTAAATAAGAATCCAGTGACCAGTCCTGGAGTGATGGAGATATGTGACTTCTCAGGCAGAAAATTTAGAATAGCTGTCTTAGGGAAGCTCAGTGAAATTCAAGGTAACAGAAAAAGAGAAGTCAAAATTCTGTCTGAGTTTTTAACAAAAGTTTGAAATAATTTTAAAAATTAAGTGGAAATTTTGGAGCTGAAAATTCAATTGACAAACTGAAAAAATGACCAGTCTCGCAGCAGGAGAATTGGTCAAGCAAAAGAAAGAATTAGTGAACTCAAATATAGCTTCTATGAAAATACATAATTAGAGGAGATATAATAATTATTATTATAAAAAGGAAATGAATATAAGATCTAGAAGATAGGGTCAAAAGGCAAATATGAGTTATTGAAGAATGATTGGCCTTAAAAAAGATGTAGAGAAATATATTAGGGTAGATCTTTTATTCAAAAAAGTAATAACAGAACTTTACAAACACAGATAAAGAGGAAAGTGTCTGATTCAAGAAGGCAAAAGAACGCCAAGTAGGCTCAACCCAAATAAAACTACCTCAAGTCATATAAATAATCAAACTCTCAAAAGTCGAGAATTATAAAAGGATCCCAAAAGCAGCAAGAGGGGATGAAAAAGCAAATAACATGTAAACGAGCTCTGAAACTTCTGACAAGAGGCTTCTCAGTAGATACCTCATAAGCCAGGAGGGATTGGGATGACATATGCAAAGTAGAGAAGGGCGCGGGGGGTGGGGGGAGAAACCTTCTAACCCAGAATATTACAATCAGCAAAGTTATGCTTCAAAGGTTAAGGAGAAATAAATAATAAATATTTCCTCAGATAAACAAAAGCTGAGGGATTTCATTAACACCATGGCTGTTTTACAATAAATGCTAACGGAAATTCTTCAGTCTGAAAGAAAAGAATGTTGGCAAGCAACAAGAAATCATCTCTAGGTATAAAACTTACTGATTAAAGTAAGCACACAAAGAAATACAAAATAATCTCAGTCTGTGATTGTGGTGTGTAAAATACTCAAATCTTTGGTATGAAAACTAAAAGACAAACCTACCAAAAATAAGAAGTACAACAATTTTATAAGAGACAGATAGACAATATCAAAAACAAATATTTGTTCATTGTAAACAAAAATTGAGTTGAAATGACTCTTAAAAGTTTTTTTATTGAAGTTTCAATTTCATCAACTGTATTTTGAAACTTTTCTCATAACAACAGTGTAATTTTTAAATGTGAGGAATTACTTCCGATGAAGTAGCAGTGTGTAGGTGTACTGGATTTCTATCAATTGAGATTAAATAGTTTCTTGCAATGTAATGTAATTTTGTGTAATTGCCTCGTTTTATTTCTATCACTTCCTTCATATTTAATTAACATAACTTCTAGAAGAAAAAAAGTAGCTTTGTAATGTAATGGATATGTTATTTAGCTTGAATGTGGTAATCATTTCACAATCTATGCATGTATTAATCAGATTGTACAGTTTGAATTTTTATTTGTCAGTTATACCTCAATAAAGCTAAAAAAGAAGAAAACAAAAATATTTTAAAATTACATTGTGGTGGTTGAATAACACTGTATAGCTGTTAAAATACATTGAGTTGTATACTTTAAATTGGTGCACATTCTGTGAATTATAGCTCAACAAAGGAAATAGTAGATGAGCAGTGTATGCTAACCCTTGCAAACTAAAGGTGAGATGTATTCAAATTGATTCAAATGCCACACTTTAAAAATTGAAATACTATTATTTTATTTATTTTGGTAGGGGCATTTACCTACCAAAAGAGGATAATGCTTTCTCTACAAACCTGTTTTAAAATTTGTGTTTCTTTTTTAATTATTTAAGAATGGTTTAGAAAAAAGAATAATTAAAGCACCATAAGAAAATGGGTCTATTCTCAGCTCTAACCTTATAGATCTGAGTTATTTTAGGTGAGTTTCAACTGATTTCAAATATCTTCATCTATAAATTAGGGTTGAAGTAGATAATTTTTAGTTGGAATAGATAAATTTTAATTTTTCACTAATTGAAAACACACTTTCATTTTTTTACTTCCATGAGAAGATTATGGAAACTCAACTACATGTGCTTGTAAAGTAATGAAAAGACTTTATTGTAAAAGCAAATAACTCATCAAGAGGGAAGGAAAATTACATAGAGTAGGAGACCATCTCTGCTGATAGCATATGATTATCAGGTATGTTACGGACCCTTAAAGTGCTTATATGTACAGTTTTGTCATAAAAATCTGAACATTTAGGCTAAATCACTCTTCTGACAACTGAACACAAGATGTCAAAACTTTATTCCATGGGATCAGTACTCTGAGCTAAAATACAATTTTGCAGCTCATGAGTATTGTAGACCCAGGCATGTAAAACTTGGCAAGTGAACATGCTCTGTAACAGTCACATTAAACACACAATAGTATTCTAGAAATCTAACATTGTTACCCATATTTTGCAGGTGCCCAAATTGTACAATCTCAAAAAATATTGGCTCACCATATATAAGCATGGTTTTATCACAGACAATTTCACATTGCCAACACATTTTCCCTCCTGATTCAATGTATGTTTCTATGAATGTGATAGTCCTAAAAGTATATTATCTCTAAAACATTTCAGTGTAATATTAAGAAAGAAGTGGGAGTTTTATAATAACTAAGAACATGAAGATTTTTAAATGGCAAATTTATTCTGCAAATTAATGGAAATTATTAAACACATACTTATCATACATATGTTTAATATTAATAAAATCCCAAATTGCTAGGTTCTGCTTTGCATAAGCACCAAAAGTACTAAAAATTTTGATAGACGTTGACGATACTATGAACAGATTCTGTTTCTATTGAATGTAAAAACTCATTTCCTACTTTTTTTTCACTTTCCAAATTTAGGTTTACACAAGTAAAATCAAAATTCAATTTTATTGGAATGTTGAATTTAGTAGTACTGTACACAATAAGTGCCCAAGATGCCATGAGCAATATCATAATGCCAGGAGTTTCTCAAATAGTGTAACATAGAGGCATTAGAAGTCAGGTGTGCAGAAGTCAGGTGTACAGAACACACGTATGTGAACTGAAATTCCAGCACCTAAAGAAGATCTGCTTTAATTATTACTTGTTCTTAATGGTATGTATACACAACATTTTTGAGCATCTCTTTTTAGGTTATAATTTTTAAATTGTTTGAGGATATATCAATTCCTTAGCTGTTTGTTCTTATACAAAATAAATTCAAATTTCAGCTGCTATTTCACTTTAAAGTCTTGATAATCATCATTCTCAGCAAACTATCGCAAGGACAAAAAACCAAACACCGTGAAATATGTTCTCACTCATAGGTGGGAATTGAACAATGAGAACACATGGACACAGAAAGGGAAACATCACACACTGGGGCATGTTGTGGGGTAGGGGGAGGGGGGAGGGATAGAATTAGGAGACATACCTAATGTTAAATGACGAGTTAATGAGTGCAGCACACCAACATGGCACATGTATACATATGTAACTAACCTGCACGTTGGGCACGTGTACCCTAAAACTTTAAGTATAATAAAAAAAAAATAAAGTCTTGATAAATACGATTAGTAACTTCTGGATGAATTACACCTATGATCTAATAAAAGTATGATGCATAGATTATTGGAAAAAGACATGTATATCACGACAGAAGATACCTATGAATCTGTATTCTATCTGTACCTATCTGTGTTCTATCTGTACCACTTACTTGTTATAGCAACACTGAATAAAACATATCACTTCTTAGCTTCAATTATTTTTGCTATATATAAAAATATCAATAACTATATCGGGGTTTTTAAACATTAACTTAGATAATATAAGGTGAAAATCATTCACTTTAGTTTTTAAATGCTATATTAGCATTATAAATAATTATAAAAAATTATAAATATTTTTATAATTAGCATTATTATAAATAAGTATATATGTACTAACTGAAATCTTTAACATCCCATAATATTTCTATATCCTGGATTTCAAAATCCCCAAATTATCCTTTTTTTCAGTATTTAGAGTGATTCAGGAACAATATGATGAATTCCCCCTTGGAATAAAAAGAAAATGGATAGTGGAGTCAGGGGCAAATAAATGCTAACACTTAATAATGATACAGTCTCTTCTCATTATTCATTAATTCTAAATTTGTGGATTTGCATACTCGCTAAAATTTATTTGTTATCTCTAATTCAATACTCATAATACTTGAAAGTTGATTTATGTATCAGAAAGTTTAGGCAGTATAAAAGATGAACTAGGGTGGGTGAATACTGGAGAAAATTAAACGAAAGTAGAAAACTGGGCCGGGAGCGGTGGCTCACGCCTGTTAATCACAGCATTTTGGGAGGCCAAGGTGGGCAGATCTCCTGAGGTCAGGAGTTCAAGACCAGCCTGGCCAACATGGTGAAACCCCATCTCTACTAAAACATAAAACAAAAAATTAGTTAGGTGTGGTGGTGTGCGCCTGTAACCCTAGCTACTCAGGAGGCTGAGACAGGAGAATCACTTGGACCTGGAAGGCAGAGGTTGCAGCGAGCCAAGATGGCGCCACTGCACTCCAGCCTGGGTGACAAGAGCAAAACTCCATCTAAAAAAAAAAAGAAAACTGTTAAAGTAGTCTATGCCAAAATAAAATAAGTGCAGATGGTATGTCACTAGATATTTAGAAGGTAGTATTAAAAACAAAAACAACAAATTTGGAGATTTGGAAAGTGAGCCGTAAGAATGGTAAAGGAGAAGTTCAAAGCATATGTGGTCATTTCCAATCTTATAGCTGGGAAAAGTGAAGGGATGGTATTGATAATGTGCATGGATAATAATGGCTGTGAAACAGGGACTCACCACTGGATGGTGTGATAAAGAAAAAAACATTGACCTTTAAAATTTTTTCCATAGTCTAATTATACTTCATATCAAAGTTAAATATCTCTTTGTTACTTCAAATCTAAGTGAAGTTGATCAAATAAAAATAATAACTGTAAATTGGCTTTCCAATTTTAAGAAATATGCTGAATTCAGAAATATTTTTATTAACACTTTTATTAAATAGCACTAAACCAAGGTGTAACTTACGTATGTATTCCTCTTTTAATGAAAACATCAAAACATTTTTAAATAGTTCTGTATAATGTAGTTTGCATGCACTGCTACTGCCACAAAGGTGATAGGGACATAGTTTATATATTAAAAAAAACTGTTTGTGCCTTCAAATAATTTAAAGCTAATAAAATTTCCCTGTTTTATTTTTTCTTCTATCAGAAACAAGTCTGAAGGTGGTAAAGCAAGATGTTTGTCACCTGTATAAGCAGATTTCTTATAAGGTTTTAATAGATCACCTTATTACTCCTCTTATCTTAAAATTTTGAGGAATTTTTCCAAAAACTTTCTTCAAACAATATTATTTTTCAAAGTTTAACATTTTAGTCCAATTAAAATTTCAGCAAAAATAATAATAAAAGAACAACAAAGTGGTTATTTCTAATTCTATACAAATAATGACTTGTGAAAACCTGTTATCTTTCCTGAAGTTTGAATATTGGATAGCATTCAAGCCAAAGCAACCAACAATGTTTGTCAGCACCATTTGACAGAAAATAGGTAAAACCTCACCAACATATCATAAATAATGTTTAAATAAATCTTTGCAATGAAATTATACTTGTAGATTATTTATTTGAAATATAAAACAAGAGAATTTCACTAAGTTACTAATGGTTGTTTGTTGTTTAGGAGAGTTGTCACTATTCATGCCTGAATTGTAACTTTTAAATACCACCAACTTAGGGAAAAAAATAACTAGATAACAGTTTTGCTTTAATTTTATTATGTTCATGCTACCATATTCCCAGGTTCTAGAGTAATCATATAAAATGTTGTGTCCCATTTGTGAAACACTTGGGAGAGAAAAGGTTGGGACAAATGCTAAGACAGATAGGACACTGGAAATACTGACATAAACTATGCCTGTTCCAAATACACCAAAATATATGGTTACCACATATACTATTTCTGTAAATTTTCATATTTCTAGTTCTTTCTCCCAGTCCCTTAGGGACTTCATTTGTTTTTATTTGTTTCAGCTAATCTGATGAGGTGGAATAAAGTAATTATTAGGAAATTTAAATTTTAGAACAAAAACATGTATTTTTTGGTCTCATAAGGATACCTTGGAATAAGCTTTTTCACAAACAATTCCACAGAATTTGAAATTATTGTAAGATATATTTAAAATTAATGTTTATAGGATTTTTAATTACCTCGAATTTTTTTTAATGCATTTGTATTCAGTTAGTTTTACTATGCAATAAGTTATCCTAAACCCAGTGGATTAAAATACTAGTGCTTGATTTAGGTTACATTCTATGGGATGGCAATTTAGGTTGCTCTAAGAAGGTGGTTTTACTGGGCTGGACCAGGCTTAGCTGGTGGCAGGGCTCACTAGTGCTTCTGTAGTCACCTGCCAATCTTGCCGAGTGCTGACTGGACTAAATTGTCTCATCTGGCATGGGCGTCCAGGTTCCAAGTGTTCTTTTATTCTTCAGCAAGCCAGTCTGGATTTGTCCACATAGCATGCAGCAAAGTAAAATGTGTGAAAGGGCATGAAAATAGAGACAAGATTGTATATATCTCTATGTATACACACACACATATACACACGTACAATTTTCTATAATAGATTTGAGTTCATTAGTTTGATTTCACATGTAAATATATCATTTTCTTTTTCCATTTCAATACTTCTCATCTGAATACCCTAATTTTACTTTCCTAGTCTACTGTTTATCTTAGTTTCATTCCATACATCTTCTCACTGATTTTATACTATTCTATAAGGATAATTAAAACAAATATTGAATACTGGTTTTTTGTTTGCAGTCTGCATCTCTGTATATTTTGATATGGTTGCTAGACTTAGCAAGAATTTCTCTGCTTCTTTGGTTTCCATGACACCATTTTTTCCTAGGTATAATTCAATATCTTGTAATTCTTCCTTCTAATTGCTTTCTTACCTCTTTCTCTTTTTTATGTCATGCCTCAAATCTATTCTTTAGCCTCTTTTCTTCTTTTCTTTTAGGCTTCCTTCTATATAAATTATATCCAATTCACATAAATTGGTTAACTGCTCTGTCAAATGTTTCCATGTATAGTTTTTTAACATTGGAATTCATGGAACTTTGCCAATTCCAACAGCCTCTTTGACAACTTTGCACTGATGTATCACATAAAACAGTTTTAAATCATAGGTCAGAAGTTAAAAGCCCTTTAATATAGGTGTAGGTAAGTTTTCCTATTTTACTTCCCATATGCTTAAGCTACTCTATAAAATTTTTCCCATATATATATATATATTTCTTAGTTTTTACTGGTACACTTTGGCTCTTTTTCCTCAAAATAGAGGAACATGTCCAAATTCTACACCCTTTTCTAGACTACATGCAAAATCACCTACACAACACCTCCACTAATGTTTTAATGTCAAAGAAATCTCTCCCATTTGAATCAATTTTACTCTGTACATCCCTTGCCAAAGTTATTTAACCATAATAATAGAATAAAATGTTTGTTTTAAATAACTATTATTTTATAAACATGTATTCTGATATTTTTATATTCTGTCTATAGCATCCCACATTGATTTCATTACATAGTTGCAATTTTAAGCACTTTTGAGCACAAATAAGCTAGTGGAATAGCAAGAGAACGCTGTCTTTGCTTATGCCAGATGGATGTCAGATAATTAGGAGGGGCAGTGGATTCTCTGTTTGTTGACCAATCATAGACGTACCTTCCAAGTCCTAATTTTTCATTACATCTACACATGGCCCAGAAAAGTAACTGAACTCATTTAACAAAGTTGTTGGAGTAATCATTATATAAGCAAAAATGAAGAGAAGATTATTCCTTAAAATCCAAATTTCTTGTTACCAAAAAAGTATGCTCCTACCTACAGACATTATTGTACATGTAAACAGTAAATGGCTGTGCAGATATAAAAATATCATTTTATATAATTATAAGCATGCATCTGCATTTTATTCTTGTTTACTTCTCTCAGACTCAGGACACTGGCAAAGAAATTGTGTTTGCCTAGCAGTATCATGGTGTCCTACATGAAAATAATTAACTTGAAAATACAAACTCAGGAAAAAGAAGTCCATTTGTTTTTCTTATTTAGAAGCATATTCTGACTATTGTTTCAAGCTCTAAGAGGAGGGTCTTTTTGCCTCAGAATATTTAATAACCCCCAGCTTGTTTTTTTTTTTTTCACAAGACAATTTTTTGCTTAAACAAGTTCTCAAGTGAAACTTAATAATATCTCGCATGGTTTGGGTAGCACAACCTACATTATTTATTTAGTGACAGGACATATACATGAAGATCTCTGTGGCCTAAAACCTTCGAGCAGGGCTTGGTTTGAAGAGTTTTAGAAAATTAGATATTTTTTGAATAGAATACTCATAGTAGTAGCATTAGGTGGCTCACTGATCATGGAGTGTTCATTTGAGTCAAGCAAATAACCACTCAATCTTTAAAATTATGATTGAAGTGGAAAATATCACTATCCATATACATCTAAGTGACAATAATGTAACAGAGTTGATGTAAGTAATGTGATTAGACATGAACAATGATTGCTAAATCAGAGTAACCAAGATATGTAACTCTCTTCTGTCCTCCTCCTGGCAATTCCTTTAGCCACACTTCTACCTAAAAGGTTAATTAATTGCCTATTACTGTAATCATACTGATTAATACTGAGAATTATCAAGCTGTATGGTAACTTTCTGAAATCCTTCAACATTTAACTCAGTGATAAGAAACATAGATCTTGACAACTTTTATAACAATTTATTTTCAGATATCAAAGACAAAATATTTCAAAATGCACGTTAAAATCTCTCCCTTTTAAAAAGGATTTAAAATTTTCCATTTTGACAAATATCAGCTGAAAGTGCACAAAATGCCTAGCAGCAATGTTTTACATTAGGAAGTCATTTTATTGAGTTAAAATGAAAGGAAATGAATTTTATAAACTTACTTTCAAGTATTCTTCTATATGGCTCACCTTTGTGTGAAAGAGTCCTAGTTATATGAAATTTGGTGAAAACAAACAGCTTAATTTGTATGTTATTCCTTTATATTTTGTGATATTTATAGCACTTATTCTGTAATATATTATACCATAGGCTCATATAATCATATTATATATATTTACATAGATTTATATAAATATTATATAACATATAAATGATATATGTTATATATAATATATAGCTATATTTACATATTTTGTATTATATATACTTATGTATCTATATATTTATATTTATATGTAAATAAGTTTATATATACATATGTAATATATTATATATAAATATATATTACATTACACATATATAAGTATATATTAACACATAATATATAAATATATATTTATAAATGCAACCAATAGAATATGAGTGTATACTATTGAATATGAATGTATGAGTACATTCTTTTACATACATAATTATTTTCATCTAAAGACATTTCTCTAGGGTTTAAAATCTGTGTTATATATTGGTATATTTCTACCATCCAGCATCTATCACAATGGTAAGGACACAATAAGGTGTTTAGTATGTATCTTACTAAATGTTTTTCTGAAATATTGTATTTAATTGTGGAAAATATATTTGGAAACATTTCTATCACACTCAAACTTCAGGAACCATGTAGAATGACTGTAAAGTAACGAAACTTGACATTAAAAATGAGCTAATAAGAATAATATCTGAAAACTCTATATTCTTCAGTAGTCATGATATGTAGCAATCACTTTCATTTTAGCAAAATAAAAACAAAGAAACCCAAGTATCACTTCTGTATTTAGTCTCAAAATCTACAGCTTGTATGAAAACTAAATCTCATTCAGCACTCATAGTTAAGATCCTGATGCATTTTTCCTGGAGGAGACATTCTACAGGAAACTTTGTTGCTGGTAAAGCTTATTCTACCTTGAACTAAGTAAACAGTTCATAAACTGTCTACTAGAAGTCAGCAGTAAACAGTCAGTCTCTGAAACATTCACTAGACTGGAAAAAAAAACTTCCTGAGATACCAAATAATTTATTCAAAGCTTACACCCAACTCATGTGTCTAGCAGAAATTTATTTGAAATTCCCAGCTTAGAGAGTATATGATCTCTTACTAGAGCTACTAAGAATCATTTCAGCAACATTTAACCTGTGGGATAATGTTGTAGTCTACAGCTGCAAAGCCAGTTAAAAACAAGTCAATCAAAGTTAACTTTACTCTTTTTTTTTTTTTTTGAGACGGAGTCTCATTCTGTCGCCCAGGCTGGAGTGCAGTGGCGCGCTATCGCGCTATCTCGGGCTCACTGCAAACTCCACCTCCTGGGTTCAGGGCATTCTCTTGCCTCAGCCTCCCAAGTAGCTGTGACTACAGGTGCCCGCCACCATGCCCGGCTAATTTTTCTGTATTTTTAGTAGAGACGGGGTTTCACCATGTTAGCCAGGATGGTCTCGATCTCCTGACCTCGTGATCCGCCCGCCTTGGCCTCCCAAAGTGCTGGGATTACAGGCGTGAACCACCGCGCCCGGCCAACTTTACTCTTGACAGTGATTTTCCAACTGTGTGCTCTGAAATCTTGAACGTTGTCCAACTTAGTCCAACTCTTTCTCATTTTAATGACCCTAACTATTGCTATTCAATAGAAAATAATGAGAAACAGCAAAATCCAAGGACTGCTTGAGTATGTAGGTTTATAAGTAAAATTGGAAAAAAAAAAGCCAAGTAATGTTATTATGCTTCTTTTCATAGTTGTATATGTAAATTATATATGCATCCTATTAAGATTTCTGAACTATTTTGAGTAAAAACATAGATTATGTCTGGGGATATTCACACTTCCAATATACACTTGTCCTTTGAAATTTGTCATATTCACATTGGCTTAGCTTTTGTTTAAATGTTTATTTTCTTAGTTAAATAATGAATCCACATTCTGGTGGCAGATATGACACAACTGGGTTAGTAAATATAGACTCAACAACAGTCTAGATCATTATTATTAAAAGTTCTTTATCAGTTGACTTTGTGGTATGTTTTATAACATTAATATATAGGGTCATAGCAAACCTATAGTATTTTTTCATTTTACATATTTTATTGTTGCAAAATAAGCAAACAGTAGTTTCTAAAGTGTATGTGTTCAGCTCAATAATACTTCACAAAGTGAATACACTTATGTAATCAGCACCTATGTCAAAACAAGTCGAATATATACCAGCCATCCTCCTGTAGCTGTTACACTACATGACAAGGGTAATCGTTATTCTGACTTCTAGTAACACACATATATATATATATACAGCCAGTTTTAAAACAGTATACAAATAAATTATGCAGAATGAACAATTTTGTGTTTTTGGCTTCTTCGGCTTAATATTAGGTGTGGAAGATTCACTCATGTTTTTGAATATAGTTTTAGTTCAATCATTCTTTTTGCTATACATGTATGAATAGTAGCCCATTGAATGAATATACCACAGTTTATTTATCGATAATTCTGTTCATATGTATTTGGGGTTTTACTGAACCAAGGCTTGTAAGAAAAAAAAAGCTGCTATAAACATTATTTTACTTGTCCATTAGTGAATACATGTAGAAATTTATTTTGGGCATATTACTAAAACTATGTATATGTCTATAAGTAATATGGGATATGTGTATCAGGGAGTTACTAGGTGTCAAGTAGTTTTCTAAAGTGTTAAGTTTATGAGATTTGTTTTACTTCATCTTCTCACTAAAACTTGAAATTATCTGTTTTTTCTTTCCTATTTTTGTTTCACTCATAAAGCTCTTTGATCTATTGTATAGCTTTGGGACATAAGTTGCTTTTCTTAGGTAACATCAAACATGTTTTAAAGTTATTCATTGTCTATTTAGTTAGCTTACTTTTAGAGTGACTGTCTACACCTGTGTTTATTTTCCTTTTTGGTTGTCTAATTGTTTAGATTTTTTAAAATTATTATTATACTTTAAGTTCTAGGGTACATGTGCACAACGTGCAGGTTTGTTAAATATGCATATACATGTGCCATGTTGGTGTGCTGCACCCATTAACTCGTCATTTGCATTAGGGACATGGATGAAGCTGGAAACTATCATTCTAATTTTTTTGATTCTTAAATTATTTTTAATCTTCTGAGTATAACATTATTGACTTTTTGTATCCTGTGTAATAAATATTTGCTTACACCAATATCATAAAATATTTTTCTTTTTTTCTTTTTTTTTCTAAATGCTCACTTGTTTAACCTTTCAGATTTAGGACTGTAATACATAAAGGAAATTTTTTGTATATGTTGTCAATAATATACTAAAACCATTTTTTCCTATATTTGTATCCAATCGACATAGAACCATTTATTTTAATAAAACATTTTAACACCCTAGTATAGTGCTTTAAGCTTAAGTCAGATGAATGTGTATGAGTGACTCCATTGCTGGACTCCTTCTCCACCCATTCTTCTTTTTTTTTTTTAATTTCCTTGGTCAGTTTGTCTATTTTTGATAGAAAAAAACAAACTAATAAAACCTATATATACACACACACACACACACACACACACACATACATATATAAAGGTTGAAAGTGAAAGAAAAGAAAAAAATTATAATTCAAACACCAACAAAAAGATAACTGGTATAGCTGAATTATTATAAGACTATCACATACTTTTAATAATAAGCTTTTTGAAAAGTGAAAGAGACATTTCATGATAATAAAAGGATCAGTCCAAAAGAAAGAAGTTGTAATTCTAATTATGTGTATATCAAAAAACATCATTCTAAAACATATTTTACAAAAAATATACAGAATTAAAAAGAGAAGTGTACAAATCCACAGTCATAGTAGAAGGCTGTAGAAGACATCTTTGTATTAGAGCAAGTAGTTATAAAACTAAAGAAAGATAACAGCTAAAAAATTCATTTAGCCAACTTGACATACTGATATGTAGAACAATGGAACAAATAATGGCTGGAGATTTATTCTTTTCAAGTGCACAAGGAAATGTCACAAAAATAACTGTATTATTCAGGGTTCTCTAGAGGGACAGCGCTAATAGGATAGATGTATATATAGAGGAGACTTTATTAAGGTGTATTGACTCACATGATCACAAGGTGAGGTCCCACAATACAGCGTCTGCAAGCTTAGCAGCAAGGAAGCCAGTCCTAGTCCCAAAGCTGAAGAACTTGGAGTTGGATGTTCAAGGGCAGGAAGCATCCAGCACGGGAGAAAGATGTAGGCCTGAAGACTAAACCAGTCTAGTCTCTCCACGTTCTTCTGCCTGCTTTTATTCTGACTGTGCTGGCAGCTGATTAGATTGTGCCCACCCAGACTGAGGGTGGGTCGGTCTTGGTCAATTGACACAAATGTTAATCTCCTTTGGCAACACCTTCACAGACACACCCAGGAACAATACTTTGTATCCTTCAATCCAGTCAGGTTGACACTCAATATTAACCATCACAATAACCATAAGCTAATTCATCTAGCCTCATCACATTTCAAAGGATGGAAATCATTCTTAAAAAAAATTAAGGCTGGGTGCAGTGGCTCTTGCCTGCAATCCCAGCTTTTTGAGAGGCTGAGTCGGTTGGATCACCTGAGGTCAGGAGTTCGAGACCAGCCCGTCCAACATGGCAAAACACCATCTCTACTAAAAATAGAAACATTAGCCGGGCATGCCAGACGTGCCTGTGGTCCCAGCTACTCCAGAGGCTGAGGCAAGAGAATCGCTTGAACCCGGGAGGTGGAGGTTGCAGTGAGCCGAGATTGTGCCAACGCACTCCAGCCTGGGTGACAGAGCAAGACTCCGTTTCAAAAAAAAAAAAAAAATTAAAATACATTAATATTACACTAAACATAAGAAGTAAGTACGTAAGTTTAAAGAAAACAAAATAACAGCTTGTATATGAGGCAATGCACTTCTAGAGGATTAACAAAAATAATTAGGAAATCTATTTACATGCATAATATTGAAGATATGGCACAAGAAATCATGGGAGATGAATATTGATTTGAGAGAAATGTATTGTTTGTTTTGTTTTTTAAAAAATAACTCATTTAAATCGTTAAATTTCAAGGATAGAGAAATAAATTTTCAGGCATTAGACAAGCAAAGCAAATCATCCCTTAGGGTAAAAATAAAAATAATCAAGCTGGTGTTTGTTGTTTTAATTCTAAGAAGTGATGCCAGAAAACAATGAACAATTCAACCTCCAGTGTCTGGTCACAGACTCCTTAAAGCCAAATGATCATATCTGTCAGCATACTTACATTGTGTGTAGCATTATAGAACTACTGTAGAAATAGTACCAACACTAATATGCCTAACATTTGAAGAAGCAGTGTAGAGTAGGGATCAATCAACATAAGGTGTTCAGGTGTGTCAGAGGTTGGACAGGTGGCCTAAGTCTCCTTTGGACCTCATGCCAGAAAGCCGGTCCCAATTGTAAATGTTATTGATCAAAACAGGGCTTTGATTAATGGACATTGCACTAGGGTAAGGAGACAGGCCGCTCCTTTCAAATGCATGCGGCTCACTGACTTCATCCTCAAGTTCGTACACAGCACCCTAAAGAAGTATGTCCGACAAGCCTGGCAGGAGGCCAATGTCAGTACAAAATGGGCAGCCACAAGGCAGGACAAAAAGATTGAAGCCATAGAAAGGAAAGCCAAGATGACAGATTTTGATAATTTTATAGTTATGAATGCAAATAAAATGAGGAGCAGAATAATCAAGAATGAAATTAAGAAGCTTCAAGAGGCAGCTGTCATGAAAACTTCTCCTGAAAAAACACCTGCTGCTAAAGGTGCTGCTGCAGCTTCTGCAGTTCTCACTCATATGTGGGAATTGAACAATGAGAACATTTGGACACAGGGTGAGGAACATCACACACTGGGGCCTGTCGTGGGTTAGGGGGAAGGGGGGAGGGATAGCATTAGGAGATACACCTAATGTAAATGATGAGTTAATGGGTGAAGCACGCCAACATGGCACATGTATACATATGTAACAAACCTGCACATTGTGCACATGCACGCTAGAACTTAAAATATAATAAATAAATAAATAAATAAAAATAAAAATAAAGAGGACCACTGCAGGAAAGAAGGCTCCAGCCTAGAAGCCTCCTTCCCAGGAAACCACAGGCCAGAAGGCAGGTCCTCTTCCAAAAGCTGAGAAGGGTCAGAAAACTCCAGTTCCGAGAGCACCTGCTCCAAATGCATTTGACAATAATGCATAAGAGGCTGTTATGAAAGTAAATAAAGGTTCTTTTTGACACGTTGAAGACATTTTTTTTTAAATCTAATTTGCCCAGGAAAGCCACCACATAGATTTTCATAGTCTTGTATTAATTTAACTATTCTGTTTCCCCCTTGATCCACTGCTGTTTGTATATTTTGATAAACTTGTGCATAACTCTGTAACACAGAAAACAGCTGATGGCTAGGTAGATCCAGTTCTTCCTCAGACCAGACATTTTCAATAAAATGAAAATAGTAATACGTAAGTATCATGTCCTGAGGAGACACTAGCCCAATCTCTCAATACATTTGATTACAAATATCAATATAAGAAGATAATAATTGTTTTAACAAGGTCTGTAGAGAATTCTCTTGGTCATGACCGTTCAGCCAAGAATATTTCTTTTCTTCTGGTACAGGGACTACATCTCGCACACGGGAATTTTTATCTCCTATTTCCAGGTTGAAAAGAGATTAGAATGACATTTTTACATTTGCTGCTTTGGAAGTGCCTTTAACTCAAAATAATTCTTATACCCACATGGCATATTTTGGGGTACATATTCTGCCATTCATCAATATCTGTCATTTTATCATTTGTTTCCCGGTTGATGTATCAGTTTTCAATTTGTTTTACCCCATCCTGCCTTCTTTTAGATGAATAAAATACTCTCAGTCCATTTTTCCTCAATTTACTTATTTATTTATGCATGTTTTGTTGTGCTTTAAATAGTGATTCAAGATTTACAACATGGATTATTCACTTAGTTTATAAAAATTATTACTTTCAAATATTCCCCACAGTCCTAAAATCTTATACACAAATTCCATTTAATTTTTATAACTCGCATCATTGTATTCATACATTTTAGTTAGTATTCAGAATTCTCTAGATGTTTTTTATTTGCCTGGTACTGTCAATGTTTCATAAATTTCATTTATTTTTATTTTTATTTATTTTATTTATTTATTTATTTATTTTTTGAGACGGAGTCTTGCTCTGTCGCCAGGCTGGAATGCAGTAGTATGATCTCGGCTCACTGCAACCTCTGCCTCCCAGGTTCAAGTGATTCTCCTGCCTCAGCCTCCCGAGTAGCTGGGACTACAGGTGCACGCCACCACGCCCTGCTAAATTTTGTATTTTTAGTAGAGACGGGGTTTCACTGTGTTGGCCAGGATAGTCTCAATCTCTTGACCTCGTAATCTGTCTGCATCAGCCTCCCAAAATGCTGGGATTACAGGTGTAAGCCACAGCGCCTGGCCATAAATTTCATTTTTAAACTCATATTTCAGTCTTCGTTTCCCTTCATCTATTCTTATAAGTCTGTGTTTCCTTCTTAATAAAAATTTGCCTTAATAATTTTTATTTCTTTAGAGCAGGTTTTCTGGAGATAAATCCCCCAGTTGTGTTGTTGTTATTGTTGTGGGTGTTATATGGAAGAATTTGTACTTCTAATATTTAAAGGATATTGAGTATAGTTGTTCTTTCTTTGTTGTTATCAAGGGGCCTCTAGATATCACAATTCTAGCATAAAAATTGTATTATTATTTTTTATTGAAGAAGCCTTTTCATTTTTATTGTGGGCTTTTGATTTATGTATATGTAAAATGTCTATTTAGAGACTTCCTTATATTTTGGATATCCACTTTTAAACTAATTGCAACATTAATATAAATTATTCAACCTGTATGTAAATATAAAGCAGAATAATAAAAAGAATAAGAATATTTCAGAGTTCTTGCAGTCGAGACCTAATTTTTATTACTACGTCTTACTTTCTCAAAGCAAGACATATCTAAATATCTATAACTTTGTATCCATGATTTACTTGCATTTAAAATATATGTTTTTTCAAACATCTAGTTTTCCTAAAAATATATTTTGTGTGTTTCTTGGTCTAAAGCTTTTAAAACTGGCATCGTGTAACACTCTGCAATTATTTATTTCACTCAACACTATGTTTCTACAACTCATCCAAGTTACTGTTGTAGTAGGTTGTTCATTAATTTCCAATGCTTTAAGTATTCCATTATGTGCAAATATTAAATTCACTAACTCACCTCAAGTGAGTGAATGTTTGCCTTATTTCCAGGTTGGTGTATTTTTTAGCCATTGTGAAAAGTGCAATCAGATATTTTGTACATGTCTCTTGGTGAGTAGAGAAAATTTTTCTAAGTCATATACTTAAGAATATAATATCTGTTTTAAAAGTTTGTAAATGCTCACCTTTTCGAGATAACTCCAAATTATTTCTAAAGAGTTTATACCAATCTACACTATCATTTTTAATGAATAAGAATTACCCATTTTAAAATCTTTTGCCTATACTCAATGTCTTAGACATTTTATTGCTGCTAATAATGGTGAGTATAGATATGTATATCTTTGTAGTCTTAATTTGCATGTCCTTCTTTTGTAATAAGACAATTCATTTATTTTGCTAGCCACAAGAAACCCTGAGTTAAAGTAGAAGGAAGAACTACATCATTGAATTATGTCTGTATTTCAGGAAGTAAGTGGCTAACTCTATCCCTGCACCCTTTCTTAGTCAACTTACTTGTCTGGCTTGTACAATCAGACAGAAATTAGCATTCTTTTTCTCATTCAGTCACACTTTTACTTTTCTGCATGATCCTGGTCAATCATCTACAGTGAGATGTTTTAAACCATTAAATACTGTGCATCTCCCTATTTTTAAGTATATTATACTCTAGCGTAAGCTCTGAGTGTGTGTGTGTGTATGACAGCATTGTGTACCTCTTATAGTCAGGAACTGTGTCAAAGTAGCATTAAATTACTCATGCGTACCAGAGCACCTCCCTCATTGCACGTATTCATCAAATTAGGCTATAGAATTTTTTAAAAATTTGCTCCCTTTAATAGAAATCCATTTGCATAGCATTCATTGACTCAAGGAGTGGCCCTCAACTATATTGCACTTGATTTGGCATAGTGGAAAACAATATTCAAATAGCTAATTCTACTAGAAGTGAATGAAATATATGAAGAAATTTCAAGCCATGAGTTACGAATTGTAATGGAAAAAATAAAGCATAGGTGAGAGAAATAATAAAATGGAGATGACTTTCAAGTCTTTCTTTAAATTATTGGTATGGATATAAAGTGGGAATAAAACTAAGGTTATCTCATACTGATGAAACTAAGAAACAGTATGGCTTATTCAAAAACTTTAAATCCAACTTTACCTGGAGGATATGTTCAAACGGCGATGAGTCATTAGGCTAGAAAGTAGAGTGGAATGGTTCATGACATTACAAAGAATTGAAATTGTATTCCAGGTTTTCAATTGAATGATATAAATGTAATTATTTAGAGAAATCTAGTATTGAAGAAAGGTAATTCTGTTATGTCAGAGTAAAAATGTTAAAGAATAATTGGACTAGAGGTCCTCTCTCAGTTCTGTAACATATTCATGTTAATATTTATCTTTTTCTCTTTGATTTTATGGTAAATGTAGTCTTTAATTATATCAAAATTAATCACACACTATTCATCTGCTTTATATCCTCCAGAGTTATTTCTTTACGCAAAGATGGAATGACAAGAAAATTCTTGTGTTGTAGATAATTTCCTATTTAGTTTGATTTCCCTGGCATATTTACTGATGCAAGCAGCAAAATCTGTTCCTGTTGAAACACTACTATCCCAAGAGGGAAAGTACTCTACCATATCTTCTTAGGAAAAAGAGAAAAATATATACACTTGAAATCTCAAACAAGAATTAAATAAACATATATGTAAAATTAGAACTATCTGCCTATATGAAAGAACAAATTAAATCACCAGGTGAATTAAAGTTTTGTTTTATATATCCAATTACTGTTCCTATATTCAATTTTATAAATAAATTAATTCCTGGCTATGTTAAGCATGCCAACACAGCCTTTAGAGATATAATTAATGAACTAAGGAAACCATTTAACAAATGACTTCACTATGTTCTTAGGTATGTGACTGTTCACTGGTGGCCAGCTTTTACTGTGAGTCTAAAAGAAAAGAGGAATATGTTATAGTATACTTTAAGAAGGAGGCATGTGAAAAAAATTATGTCTATCTTTTTCAGTATAGAAATTACCATGACCCAAATAAACTCCACTTTATGAGAAGAATCTCCCATGCTACCAATCAATTAATTAATTAGTTTAAAAACATATGTGCCATAAGAATTAGTAGATTTATATTAATTTACAAAATATGTCTTATTTACTCTGTTTAGGATTTTAATCATACCAAGATGATTTTTAAGAACTTAAAGGTAGTTTTCTACTAAATAAAGCAAAGAAGAGTTTAAACAGATAAACTTGATGTATAATGACTAAGCAGGACAATCACATTTTCGGTTCCTGATTTACACAGAAGTAAAATGTCTATTAAGAGGCCCTGATGACAGATCAAATAGCCAGAGTGGACTTTTGTTTCTGTCATTCTGAGACAAAGTTGGTTCCTCAATAGATGCTACCTCTGAAACCAACTAAAGTTATTGAAAAAAATAGCTTAAATTATAATTTTAAGTGAAACAATAAGTTGACAAGTTGGTGAGGACTACTTACAGGCTGAAAACTAAATGGAGGTCAGAAGCAGATATAAGCAGAAAATGGAAAAAGGCTTTTGCTTTGAGCATAACTGCTCAACATAAGTTTTGATTTCTGTTGAGAACAAACTAGGAGATGAAACTCAGAGCTAGATAGCTGACTGGACGCAGCCAGGAAGAACATCTCCCATCAAGAGACTAGGACATAGGGAAGAATGTCACACGAAGCAAATCTTTGGAGGGAAGGCATTGAGAGTGGATGGAGGGAGGACGCAGATACTAGGCTGAAGGAGGAAGCAGGGAACCCTGCACATGGCTACCGAACACTGGGGCTTGTTCCTGGCCCCCAGTGGCTTCTGGGGAAGAGGTTAAGTTGAACACAGGAGGGGTGGCCTGCTCTCACCATGAACCTCTGGAATCTTAACAGCAGGAGATGCCATGACCTCCACAGATACTTGAGCTGGCAGGGAAAGCTGCTTGGAGAGGTGGTAGGGGCAGGACTCCAGCCTGTGTGGAGCCCAGAGGGTGTGAGGTGGGAACATCTGCAGTGGAGCATGGCCAGGGACTCCCATCCCCCAAGGCTGGACATGCTCCCTAGAAGACTTTAGTCTTAGGGTGACTGTCAGATCTATGCAGAGCAGGGCTCTCTTGCCCATGAGCTGGAGTTGGTCTAATCTGAGCACCGTTTTTCCTGCTGGCCTCTTCCAGGGCCCCAGCCTGGCTGCACCTACTTGCAGCACAGTCTTGAATTCCCACCAATATGCTTCCCAGAGGCCCTCATCATAACTTCTTGGCTGGCAGAGGCAGACCACACCTGACCCTTGGAGAGCACCAGCACAGTGGACCCTGATGACATGCACCAGCCCACCTGCACCATCCTGCCACCATAGCCTGTCCCCACTGCTTTGTTGGCACGCACATGCTCATGGCCACCAACCCACTGCTTTCCCAGTGTGTGCGCACAGACCGACTTCACCTCACCTGCCTCACCAGCACTTGTGCACGTGCACACCCCGTTGTGCCAGTACTGCTGGCACCATGCTGCACCCCCAACCCCCCTCTGACGCATGGGTATCCTGCCATGCCACCATCCCGGTGTGAACACCTGGACAGATACCAGCAATCCCGCGCCTGCCAGCCCCCACCCTTGCTGTACCGCCGCTGATGCTGTCAGTGTGAGCACTCAGAGGAATGCCACAGCCCTACTCCTGCTGGTGCCTTGCCCCAACCAATGTGCATGGCCCTGGCTGCACTGCCGTGGCTATTGGCACTCACTAGTGAGCACAGATTCCACTGCCATCATCCTGACTTTAGCACTTTGGCCAGCACCACCCATAGGAGTATTGTGGCCAGCAACAAGGAACACCTTTGCTCCTCCAGCACAGTAGGTTCCAAAGAACAAAGGGGCCAGAGAACAGAGTGAGGGGGCCTGATACTAGTCCCCCAGAATTAAAGCAGGCAGCCCAGGCCTGATGAGCTGAGCCTTGGGCTTCTAAAATCTTCCAGAAATGAAGCCAGCCAACTGAAACTACCTTATACCACAGTCAAATACCCAAGGGCATCGAAGAAGATGAAAGCAAAAAACCCTATCCAAAGGACAGCAAACTCGAAGACTGAAGGAACATCAGTCACACAGATGAAAAAGAACCAGTGCAAGAACTCTGGCAACTCAAGAAGCCAGAGTATCCTCTTACATCCAAACGACTGCACTGGTTCTCTAGCAATGGTTCTTCACCAGGCTGAAATGGCTGATATGACAGAAACAGAATACAGAAAATAGATAGGAATAAAGATCGCTATTCTGGAGGAAGTCAAAACCCAATCCAAGGAATCTAAGGAATAAAGTGAAGTGATACAGCAGCTGAAAGATCAAATGGGCATTTTAAGAAATAATTAAACTGATCTAATAGAGCTCAAAAACTCACTTCCGGAATTTCACAATACAATCTCAAGTATTATCAGCAGGATCTACCAAGCTGAGGAAAAATTACCAGAACTCAATGACCAATTCTCTGAAGTAACTCAGTCAGACAAAAATAAAGAAAAAACAATAAAAAAGAATGAACAAAAACCTCTGAGAACTATGAGATTATGTAAAGAGACCAAATCTATGACACATTAGTGCCCCTGAAAAAGAGAAGAAGAAAGCACCAATTTGGAAAACATATTTGAGGATATTATCCAAGAAAACTTCCCCAGCCTCACTAGAGAGACCAACATTCAAATTCAAAAAATGCAGAAAAACCTTGTGAGATGATATACAAGACAACCATATCTGAGACACATAGCCATCAGATTGTCTAAGGTCAAAATGACAGAATAAAACATGTTACAGGCAGATAGAGAGAAGGGGCATATCACCTACAAAGATTACCCCATCAGGCTAACAGTGGACCTTTCAGGAAAAACCCTACGAGGCAGAAAAGATAGGGGACCTAAATTCAACATTCTTAGAGAAAAGAAATTTCATCTAAAATTTCATATCCAGGCAAAACTAAGCTTCCTAAGTGAAGGAGAAATAGGACAAGCAAATGCTAAGGGAATTTGTTACCACCAGACCTGCCTTACAAAGGTCTTTAAGGGAGGCCTTTATAAATATAGAAAGGAAAGGCCATTACTAGTCACCACAAAACACATTTAAGTACATAAACCATTGACACTATAAAGCAACCATACAAACATGTCTGCATAATAACCAGATACCAATATGATAATAGAATCAAGTCTGCATATATTAATATTAACCTTGAATATAAATGGACTAAATGTCCTAAATAAAAGGCACAGAGTGGAAAGTTGGATAAAGAAGCAAGATGCAACTCTACGCTGTCTTTAAGAGACTCGTCTCACATACAATGACACCCATAGGCTCAAAGTAAAAAGATGGAGAAACATCTACCAAGAAAACATTAAACAGAAAATAGCAGGAGTTGCAATTCTAATTTCAGACAAAAGAGACTTTAAACCAATAATGATCAAAAAAGATAAGTAAGGTAATTACATAATGGTAAAGAGTGCAATTCAACAAGAAAACCTAACTCTGTTAAATATACATGCATGCAACCCAGGAGCACCCAGATTCATAAAACAAATTCTAAGAGACCTGCAAATAGACGTAAATAATTACACAATAATAGTGGGAGACTTTAACAGCCCACTGACCATGTTAGATAGATCACTGAGGCATAAAACTAATGAAGCATTTAGGACCTGAACTTGACACTTGACCAAATTGACCTTACAGACATCTACAGAACTCTCAACCCAGCAACAATAGAATATGCATTCTTTTCATCTGCAGGTGGCACATACTCTAAAATTGACTACACAATCAGCCATAAAACAACACTCAGAAAATTCAAAAAAAGGTGAAATCATACCTACCACACTTTTGGACCATGAGGCAATAAAAACAGAAATCAAAACTAAGAAAATAACACACCAGGGACTGTTGTGGGGTGGGGGAAGAGGGGAGGGATAGCATTAAGAGATATATCTAATGCTAAATGACGAGTTAATGGGTGCAGCACACCAACATGGCACATGTATACATATGTAACAAACCTGCATGTTGTGCACATGTACCCTAAAACTTAAAGTATAATAATAATAAAATAAAATAAAGAAAATCTATTGAAACCATACAATCACATGGAAATTAATCAGCCTATTCCTGAATGACTGATTAATGCAGAAAAAAATTTAAAACACTCAGCATTTTTTTCATGTTCAAAACCTCAACAATCTAGGCATTGACGGAAAATACCTCAAAATAATAAAAGTAATGTACAACAAACCCAAGGGGAAAGCTGGAAGCATTCTCCTTGAAAACTGGCACAAGACAAGGATATTTTCTCTCACCATTCCTATTTAACACAATACTAAGCCATCTAAGTAGGAGGAGAGAAGGTCAAACTATCTGTGTTTGCAGATTATATGATTCCACACTTATAACATCCCACAGGCTCTTCCCCAAAGCTCCAAAATCTGATAAACAGCTTCAGTAAAGTTTCAGGATACAAAATCAGTGTACAAAAATCAGTAGCATTTCTATACACCAACAACGTCCAAGCTGAGTGCCAAATCAAGAACACAATCCCATTCACAGTAGCCACAAAAATAACAAAATACCCAGGAATACAGATAACCAGGGAAGCAAAATATTTCTACAATGAGAATTATAAAACAATGCTGGAAGAAATCAAAGACAACACAAACAAGTCAAAAATCATTCCACGATCATGAATAGGAAGAATAAATATTGTTAAAATGGCCATGTTGCCCAAAGGGATTTACAAATTCAAAGCTGCTATTCCTACCAAACTACCAATGACATTCTTCACAGAATTAGAAATAACCATATTAAAATTCGTATAAAACCAAAAAAGATCCCACATAGCCAAAGCAATCCTGAGCAAAATGATCAAAGCTGGAGGCATCATACTAGCTGACCTCAAACTATATTACAAGGTTAGAGTAACCAAAATAGCATGGCACTTGTACAAAAACATGCACATAGACCAATAGAACAAGTTAGGGAATCCCAAAATAAAGCTGCACCCCATAACCACATGATCTTCGACAAAGTCGACAGAAATAAGCAATGGGAAAAGAACTCCCTATTCAACAAATGATGCTGAGATAATTGGCTAGCCATATGCAGAAGACTGAAACTGTACCCCTTCCTTACACCATAGACAAGAATCAACTCAAGATGGATTAAATACTTAAATGTAAAACCTACAACTATGAAAACCCTGGAAGATAGTCTATGAAATACCATTCTGGACATAGGCTCTGGCAAAAATATGTTAGAAAAAAAGTGTTAGAAAAAAATGTATGAAAAATACATAATTCCAAATATCTTAGCACTAAAAGAAAAAACATAAAGATTTAAAATCATAGGACAATCAACACTTGCTGTCCATAATAGATCTAACACATAAACAAATCAACAAAAATCAAAAAATATTTAGATGACTTGAACAATATGACAGCAAACTTAATTGCTTTATAGAATATAAGAAGAATATATATTCTATTTAGGCAGCATAGCCAATATGTGCCATAAAACCAAACTCAAAAAGTTTAAAAGAACTGAAATCCTACAAAGAATGTTATTTGACCTTAACAAAAAATGTTCTTGTCCTAAACAGATTGAAACCAGAAATAGATAACAGGATGATACCTGAAAAATCCCTAAATATTAGGAAATTAAACAACACGCTTCCAAATAATCCATGAATTAAAGAAGTAGCAGGAGAAAATAGAAAGTATTTGAATTGAGGAAAATGTAAAACACAACATAGCAGCACCAGAGGGATGCAAATAAAATAATGCTTAAAAGGAAATATATAATATTAAATGTTTGCATTTGAACTGAAAAAAATTAATAATTTAAGCCTTTTCCTAAAGAGAGTAGAAAGGAGCCAATTAAGCCAAAAGATTAGTAAATAAAATTGACTATATTTCTACATACTAGCAGTGAACAATTATAGATTGAGGTTAAAAACAGAACCGTACACAAGAGCAACAACAAATATTAAATAAGCAAGGGTAAATTTAATAAAATTTAATAAAACATGTACAGTATTTAGATAATGAAAAATACGAAATACTCATTAAAAATCATTACAAACCTAAGTAATTGGAGAGATAATCCACAATCAATAAGAAGACCCGACATTGTTCATGTATCAATTCTCCACTAATTGAAAAATTAATCACTGTATTCACTCACACACAAAATCTGAAGCAAGATATTTTGTAAAATTAACAACCTAGTTAAAATAAAAATATATGGAAAAGCAAAAGATGTAGATTTTCTAAAGTAATTTTAAAAATTGGGAGAATTCATACTACTTTATTTCAAAGTTTACAATAAAACAATACTTATAAAGACAGCATGCTACTGACATAAGAAGACCAATAAATTTCATTTCTGGGTTCTCTATTGTATTTCATTTGTCTACATATGTTTTTTATGCCAGTACCATGCTAGTTTGGTCACTATAGTTTGTAGTGTAATTTGAAGTCAGGTATGTGATGCCACCAGCTTTGTTCATTTTTCTTGGGACTGCTTTGGCTATTGTGGGTCTTTTGTGCTCCTATATATATTTTATTTCTTTAAAGAATGGCATTCATATTTTGATAGGGATTGCATTGAATCTGTAGATTGCTGGCAAAACAATAGACATATAGACCAACAGAACCGAACAGAGAACCCAGAAACAAATCCACACATTTACAGTCAACTCATTTTCAACAAAGGCCCCAAGAACATACATTGAGGGGAGAGCAGTCTTTTCAATATATGGTACTGGGAAAACTGGATATTCATATGTAGAAGAATGAAACTAGATCCCTGTCTATCATCAAATACAAAAATCAAATCAAAATAGATCAAATACATAAATCTAAAATCTGGAATTCTGAAAATACTAGAAGAAAACATTAGGGGAATGCTCCAGGGCATTGATCTGGGCAAAGGTTTTTTAAGTAAGACTTCAAAAGCCCAGGCGCCCGAAGTAAAAATGAATAAAAGGGATCATATTAAGCTAAAAAGCTGTACAGCAAAGGAAATACTCAAAGTTGAAAGACATCCCACAGAATGGGAGAAAATGTTTGCAGACCACCCACCTGACAAGGGATTAATGGCTAGAATGCATGGCTACATATTAATATGTTATTAGTATCTCAATAATTTGATAGAACAATCTGATTTAAAAATGGAGGAAAGACCTGAACAGACATTTCTCAAAAGACCTGAACAGACATTTCTCAAAAAATGACAAATGACCAACAGGTATATGTGAAAATTGTCAACATCGCTAATCATCAGAGAAGTGAGGGTCAAAATCACAATGAGATATCATCTTACCTCAGTTAAAATGACTTTTATTTTAAAAAATGGATGCTGACAAGGATGCGAAGAAAGGAGAATGCTCATACACAGTCAGTGGGAATGTGAATTAGTACAGCCCCTCTCGAAAATATAGAGGTTCCTAAAGAAACCAAAAATAAAAGTACCATATGATCCAGCAACCCTACTGTTGCATATATTAAAACAAAAACCAAATCAGTGTATTGAAGAGCTGTCTGGATTCCCACGTTTATTGCAACATGAGTCACAGAAGCAAAGATATAGAATCAGCGTAAGGGTCCATCAAGGAATGAAGAAAGAAAATGTGTTATGTGTACACAATGGAATGTTATTCAGCCATGAGAAAGAATGAAATGCTGTCATTTGCAACAACATGGATTGAACTGAAGGAAATTGTGTTAAGTGAAATCAGCCAGGCACAGAAATACAAATATCGCATATTCTCACTCAAGTGTGGGAGCTTAAAAAAATTGATCTCATGGAGGTAGAGAGTAGAATGATGGCTACCAGAGGCTGGAAAGATAAAGAAGGAGGGGCGAATAAATAGGCATTGGTTAATGCATACAAAAATACAGTCAGATAGAAGAAATAAAATCTAATGTTTCATAGCACAATAGGGTAACTATAAATAAAAATAATTTAGTTATATATTTCAAAATAACTAGAGGGGTATAGTTGGAATGTTTCTAACACAAATAAATGATAAATGTTTAAGGTGATGAGTATCCCAATTATCCTGTTTTGATCACTACACACTGTTTCCTTGTGTCAGAATATTACATATACTCCATAATATATGAAAATATTATGTATTCATAAAATTTAAAAATAAAAAGGTGAATCAAAACAAAAACAATAAAAAAGAAGAAAACCATGAGCCCTAGAGACGATTGGATCAGAACAGAGATTACAAAAGCCGACCCACCTTTATGTAATTTTGAACATACGTGTCAAGATAATTAAATGGAAAAAGATGTATCTTTCAAATAAATGATGTTGAAGCAACTAAATATCCATATTTCAATAAAAAAGAAAATCTCTACCTTTACTTGACAATATACAAAAAATTATCTTGATATGGTTCATAGCTGTAAATGTAAGAGTTAAGAAAATAAAACATCTAAAGGTAAACAGAACATTCTTACAATCTTGAGTTTGACAAAGATGTCTTATACAGTACATAAAAAGGCATGAACTACAAAAGAAAAAAAAATTGGACTTTAAAAGGTTCAACTCTTTGAAAGACTAGGAAATTGAAACAATAACAACAGACCTCAAAGATATTTCAAAACACATGTCTGGTAAAGGATCTTTATGAGGATCATATAAAGAACCCTAACAATTTAATTATAAGAGGACACAAAATCCAAATTTTAAACTGGGCAACTTATTTAAATGAACAATTCACCAAAGGTGAGAAATAATGGCAAAAAAAACTTAGGAAAAAACTATTCGGCATTATTAGTCCTTATGAAAATGCAAATTAAAATCACAATAAATGCCAACTACATACCTGCTAGTGTAGACAACAACTACATAAACCCTATTAACGCTTTTAAGGTTGCAGAGCAATTGGAACTCTCATACACTGATGGTGATAAGTAAAGAGAATATTCTCACTTTGGAAAACAGTTTGAGAATTTCTTTCAAAATTAAACATATTCTTACTAGCAATTCTACTCTTAAATAAATAGCATATGTTCTCAAAAGGACCTCTGCATTGATGTATATGGCAGAATTATCCATAATCACCAAAACTAGAGAGCACTCAAATATCCATCAACTGGTGACTGAATTACACAAACTGCAATGTATCCATGCAATAGGATACTACTAAGTGGCAGAAGGAACACACTTCTGTTAAATGAAACAACGCGAGTGAATCTCAAAGTATTAAGCAATTTGAACAAAACCAGGTTGAAAAGACTAAAAATAAATTTCTATATAAATGACATTATGTAAAAGGAAAAACTGTAAAGAAAGACACAATTACTGATTTACGGGATCTGAGCATAAGGAGAGAAAATTACCTACAGAGGGACTTTAGGCAACTTTTTGAGGTTTTGAAAATATTCAGTATCTTGATTGTAGTAGTTAGTATATTACTGAATACTTTTGTACATCTAAAAATAGCATTTTACTGAATTTAAAAATCTCAAACCTGTCTACGTAACAAACATAAATGACAACAGCAAAAAACAACATGTCATAAACAAATGAACAAGGAAAGTCATACATTCAAAAATAAAAATTTTATGGAATATTTTCCTAGTATTTATAACAAGAACAATCACATGTGGAATTAACTATACAAATATAATTTATTATAACATATATTACACAGAATTGCTCTGTGTACTTTCACGAAATAAAACCAAGTTTAAAAATTAAATTTCATTTCAGATATTTAAATAAGTGATTTTCTTATGTCTTGTATTTATCAAAGCTTTGGTGTAATTAAATAAATAACCAGGATCCTTGTATCGGGGATTGTTAATTTTGTTTAAAAGTAATTTTTTTCTTTGCTTTAAAGTAAAGGCCTTTATGATTTTACTAAAGTTTCTGAATTATTTCCCAAATAAAAATAACTTTTATTTTTAAAAGTTATTTTAAAAGTCAGTTTCTTCAGTTCACTATACAATCACTTTGGCAAAGTTTAAAATGTTTTACACTAAGTTACTTCAATTTTTAATCCTTTGCTCAACATTAGTAACCCTTTATTGATTTCAGCTATATTTAAAGTGAAGCTCGCAGAAAAAGCTAGAAAATGTTGAAAATTGACCCAAATGTGCTTTATATTAGCTCCAAATTAAATGTTTTGGAACAATGTTACTGTATTTATTTTGGTCACTCAGTAGTTCAGTTATATATCTTTGATGACAAATATGTGACAGGTGTACCATAGTCACTGACCTAGATTTAACCTAGGCATGCACAATGATGACCTGAACCTCTCATGCAGGTTACAATCTAGTAGAAGGGGATAAAAAAGAATTTAGAATGTACTATTTAGCAAACAAGACACTTTCAAATGAAGAGTGGCATATTATAAATAATCAGGATAATCTGATAGAGAGGACCAGAGAAGAGAGGTTTGCATAGAGGAAGGGATCATAGCACTCACCGCGAAGAGTCAGGACATGAGCTAAAGAACAGTAAGGAGTAGTCAAGTGAAGAATTATAAAAAAGGTATTTTAGGGCCGGGAGCGGTGGCTCACGCTTGTAATCCCAGCACTTTGGGAGGCCGAGGAGGGCGGATTTCGAGGTCAGGAGATCGAGATCATCCTGGCTAACATGGTGAAACCCCATCTCTACTAAAAATACAAAAAAAAATTAGCCAGGCATGGTGGCCGGCGCCTGTAGTCCCAGCTACTCTGGAGAGGCAGGAGAATGGCGTGAACCCGGGAGGCGGAGCTTGCAGTGAGCCCAGATGGCGCCATTGCACTGCAGTCTGGGCGACAGAGCGAGACTCCGTCTCAGAAAAAAAAAAAAAAAAAGGTATTTTATGTGGAGGGAAAGCAAATGCAAATATTATGAAGCAGAAACACACACACACACACACACACACACACACACAGAGGAATATTTTCAATTTTCAAGAAACAAAAGTGAAATACTCTTTCTTGAAACTTCACTATGGCATGGAGAATAGCTGGGATGTGTTGATGTAGAACCTCTTAACTGATGACTAGAAGTCTGAATTTTATTCTAAGTATAATGAAAGACAACAAAAGGTACCTAAATGTGGTAGAAATGTAATTTCAATTGTTTCTAAATAACTATGTTTTCTGCTGTCTGGAAAATAGTTGGTAATATCAAAGTGGGAATTGGAAAATCAGTTTTGAGGCCATTGTAGCAGTTGGTTCACGTGAGGAAAGAAGATTGCTTGCACAAAGGTGCTGGCCTTGGAGATGGTGGAACGAATCTGGAAAATCTTTAGACAGAGGTAGTAGACCTTGGTAAACTTTAGTGTTAGCTAAAGTGTTGGATTTGCTACTTAAGATTTCTGTGAGAGCAGAGACATAGCTTCTTAAATTGGGGTCATTGATTTCTAGATGTTATATAAATCAGGCATATAATTAAGATAATTGTTAATGATAACAGATTGTGACTGAAATTGAAAGACTTTTGAAATGTATAAAACAAGGCTTAGGTTTCCCAGGAGGTTTAAATGGACCTAGATTAGTTAATTACTCGTGTTAGTGCCTGTTACAGAGTACTAGGATGGGGCAGGGAGAATGTGATCTATCATTTGGCTATATATATATTGCTTATACAAAGGCGCTGGCCTAAGAAATATATATATACACACACACACACATATATACATACACACAAATGTACATGTATATATACACGTATATATACACATATATACACACATGCATATATATACACATACATATATGCATATATACACATATACACATACATATATGCATATATACACATATACACACATACGTATATGTATATATACCCATACACACATACGTGTATTATATATACACATACACACATACGTGTATGTATATATACACATATACACACATACGTGTATGTATATATACACATATCCACACATACGTGTATGTATATATACATATATACACATATCCACACATACGTATATGTATATATACATATATGTATATACACGCGTAGATACATATATGTACATATATACATATACGTACATATATACATATATACATATATGTACTTATATGTATATAAGTATATATACGTATATGTACGTATATACGTACATATATATTTCTTAAACTAATAAATAATAATAATGATTTATTATTATTATTATTATTATTATCATTATATAATATATTGTAGGCTGGGTGTGGTGACTCACACCTGTAATCCCAGCAGTCTGGGAGGCTGAGGTAGGCAGATCACCTGAAGTCAGGAGTTCAAGACCAGCCTGACCAACATGGTGAAACTAAAAAAAATACAAAAATTAGTCAGGTGCAGTGGCTCCCACCTGTAATCCCTGCATTTACTGTAAGCTGATGGTCAACTAATTGGGTCTGTTTCTGAGAGTCTGCTTGGTATTGGCTGCTTTGATTTTGTTCTATGTGGTAGCTCATTTTTAGAAAACTGGCCTAGTCTTGTTCACATGATTGCATTGCCAGGTTTTAAAAAGAAAGTGAAAGCATAACACAACTTCACTTCTGCCACCTTCTATTGGCCAAAGCTATCACTAGGCCAATGCACATTTGAGGGGTGGAGAAATAAATTTTACCTGTTAATAAGAGAAGCTAAAAAACATCACATTGTGAATGGACCTGGATAGAAGATGAGAAGTAATTCTGTCCATTTGACAATCTACCACACCACTTCTGTGGAACTAACCCCTTAGTGTTTGAATTTCAGGAACTGTTTCCATCTGATCTTGTCCACTAGAGTTATTATGGCAGGACAGGTGCAACAGGTACATTGTTATGTATCCACTACAGTGTCTTATAGAACATTGCATTTCTTTGTAAATTAGTAGTTCAGTAAGTGTTAAATCCAAGTGTCTTCAAATTTAAAATTGGAGGATTTAGGTGTATTTTTCTAATTCCCTCAAGAAATTAAAAATATCAAACACTTTTGACAATAATAGAAGCTTAGAATAAAGCTGGTGTACTACGATCCCTTTATCACTTCATAGAGAGACAAAATCCTAGTCCCTTTGAGGTCTTAGTTTATTATCTTCAGCATGGTAACAGTTGTTATTGCAATGAACTCACATTATATTATCTAAGTGGGGAAAATCTTATATGTAAATTTAATCCTTTGAATTAAAAAATAAACAAGGATTAGATAAACTATTTAGACATAGTTTCATACAATAAATAAATATCTGAATGGTTTTTCAGCTTCTCAATTCCACTGACCAGCATGCTACAAATATGATGATCTTAGACCAGTAGTCAAGTCCCAGAACCATAACTAGGCATATTAGGAAATTCACCTAGAATCAGTTTGATCATTTGACTGTCAGTCATCACAACTAACATGCCAAATTGTTGTATATTACTTTACAAATAAATTAAGTAGAAATTTGCAAGTCAGAACTGTATGAGAAATTAAATTACTCAAAAATAATGAGAGTATGTTTTTAAAGAAATATCAGACAGATATTTCTATATCTATATTAGATTTTTAATTTTGTTCCAAGTAATAATTAAACAGATTGCTAAATATTCCCAATGTGTTAACTTTATAGTTGTTCTATATCAGGTGAAGAAATTGTTAGTTAAATATCTAAAGTGCTTATACAGTCAGTAAAAATGAAGGAATAACCTAGTGTCATATCTTCTCCTACATTGCTAAATGATTATACAAAATGTCTTTTGCTGACCAAGCTGAGAAACCATCATTCATATTAAATTAAAATGGAATGTTAAAATCCAAGAACATTGAATTGGCTGATGAATAACATCCTGAATGTCTCTTCAAGTGTTATGGATAATTATAATAAGATCATTTTCTGGCACATGTCAGCTTCTTGCAAAAATTAGGAATGATTAATTTTGCTTTGTCACATAGAAAGATAAAAATAACATCACTTAGCTTAAAAAGGTACAGATGACCCTTACTACTATTTAAAAATATATTCTGTTTGTCATGATCACAAGAAGAAATGAAAAGAAATTGAGAAACTTTTTTTTCAGTTTAAAGGATAAGTAAAACTGTTTCAGTATTTTCATTTCTATATAACTTATTTTAAAAATGTCCTCTGTATCAGAAGTTCTAATGCACAGAATATACCATTTGTAGGTTAAATTCTCATTTTATACTCATTTTCAGCTTATTTTTCAAGATAAATAATATGTTGGAATAAAGTGGATAATGTTGGAATAAATATTT
Organism: Homo sapiens; assembly: GCF_000001405.40. NCBI lineage: Eukaryota > Metazoa > Chordata > Mammalia > Primates > Hominidae > Homo > Homo sapiens. The sequence continues at coordinate 85,191,727 of NC_000005.10, read as the reverse complement.
GCCAGCATGAATGTTGGAGACCTACAGGCTAGTCTCAATTTTCTCTTTTGAGGAATGGTATTGATTTGGTGACCCTAAAGCATGATAAAGGCAGTTTTGTTTAATAAAACAGGTAAGTTTTGAGATGAGTACTTAAGTTTAAATCCTGGTACACTGCTTATGACCATAGCATAGTCATTTAATCTCTGATCTTCAGTATAAATCAGTAAGATGTAAATATTTAAAACATTTTCTCATCAAATGTGTTTTGATGAGATACAAACTTAAGAAGTTTGCTGTGGAGAAACAGGAGGGTGGTGTATGTTTAAATGCCATGCAAAACCAAAAGCTTTTAATACATATTAGTTCATCATTAACTATATCATTACTGTTTATAATCTTTCTACGCCCTGTATTTTCCCTCTTCATTTTCTACAAAGTCAGTAAATCTCTGAACTGAGAGATACTATATAGACTTTCTTAAGACAATCACTTTTACTTCAAAAAAAAAAAAAGAAAATCATTTCTTAACTTGGCAATAGTTGATTGATCCCTAAGATTCAACTCTTCATCTTCCTTTTAATCATGTGCTAAATATGTATATCGATATATCTGAGGCTGTGCTGTTTGAAAATTATTTCAATGTTGCTATTAAAATTTGAACCCCTGCTGAATTCTAAAGTGTATATCATGGCAAACACTGAAGTGTCTAAATATTTTTAAATCATATTTTTTTCTTCATTTTCCTTACAATGAAATGGCGTGTAAATTGAGAAATTTAAGTTGCATTCCTTTGAATCAACATAAGGATAAGCTATTCCAGGTTCAGTGGTTGCCTCAGAATAAGATGTTTCTGGCTTCCGGTGGTACTGATTACAGACTGAATGTCTGAGACTTAAGTATAATTGGAGAGGAATAATCCTCATAAGATTCAGAAAATAGGCCACCAGAGTTGTTGTCTATTCATGGTCATCTCATTCCCAAGATACCTGATTTCTCATGGAATCCCAATGAACTTGGATGATTTGTCCTGTATTACAAGACAATGTCCTGCAAGTAGTGTGGCAAATATTAGAGATCATTTATAGTGATGAAGACCTTGAAGGAAGCATAGATTCAGAAGAATAAGAGCCCTAGATATGTCTGTACATCTAGTGATTGTAGACTTCTCTTTATTTGTCGCTCAACCCTGAGATCGATTTAACAGTGGTTTAAAAACACACTACCCCTGTATAACAGGTACCACCAAAAATGCTATTAGCCCAAATAATGAGTATGTTCTAAATATTAACTGGGAGACACTTGATGCACCAAAGCCACAGACTTACATTTTAATTTTCTTCAGTGATTTTCTGGTAACAAACCCATAAAATTTCCCTTTCTATAAAGTTACAGAAAGGGAAACTTAGCTTTAAAAGGTACAGATGATCCTTGGGACTATTTTAAAATATATTCTGTTTCTCATGATCACAAGAAGAAAATAAAAGGAACTCAGAAACTTTTTTTAGGTCTAAAGGATAAGAAACACTGTTAAGGACAAGGGAAACCGAAGAAACTACTTCAGTTACAGAAAGGAAAATATTATGTGTGATTAGTTTTCTTCTTATGCTGTGTCTCCACGTTTTTCAGAGTGATTTAAGTAAAGGCTCGAGTGAGTAAGGAATAGAGACAAAGGAGATAGGTCTCTGAGCCATGAAATATAAATACTGCAAGCTATCATTTCTAATAAGGAAATAGGGAGATCCAAGTCAAATAGATTCCTGCTCTGAAATGTTCACACCTGACTTTCCAGGACGTACATTTTCGTATGCAGACCAGTTTCCTCTTGTTTTCTTCAGTTAATTCAAAACTACACGTTTCTCTTTCCCCATACATTTTTGCTTGTTAGTGTATTTCTTGAACTGTTTTTATATTTTTTCCTTTCTATGAAATGATGTTTGTTTGTTTATTTTAAAAACAACTTAGGAACACGAGCTTGTAGGGATGTATGATCTTACCTGACAGTTATACCACAGGTAGACTGTCAGGTTAAGAAGAGTAGATCAATAACTGTTATTTGTTTTTAAATTAATCCTTGATAAAAACTGTTTTTTGTTAGGAGCTAGTCCTTGGCTACTAGTTCGATGCCATCTCCATTTTGGGTGTGACCTGTTTCACCAGCAAGCCTGGTACTCTCCATGACTAACTGTCTAAGTGCTCAAAATGGAATAAATTGCTTTTCTACATACAAAAAGTAAAAATAAATAAATGAAATTTAAAAATTGAGAATTACTTTTTAAAATTTTTTAAGTACATTTAACTCATTGGTAAGTAGTGGCTAAATTTACACATTTCCCTTAAATTAATAAATAAAAATAAAATTTTATATTTAAAATAGATACTATTTCGAAGAAAAAAATAAAACTTCTGTTTAAATTAGCCTTTGTAGCCATTTGACGAAATTTCTGTAGCTTGAGAGGAAACATGTACTTATTTATTTAATAATTATTAAATTAGGACAAATAGTAACACAAACTGTTATGTGCTTAATATTTTGTTTGTCTGCAGTATGGATTTTTAAAAATGTGATGCTTTTGCTTATTTAAGGACAAAAATTGTCCTTAGAGGAAATGACTTATCTCTTAACTGCTGATACGGAACACTCATGCAAAGTTTATTGTTTTTTTTCCTCCTCTATGACACATCAAATAGGTTGCATCAATACCAACAGCATCTCCATTCTGGAATAATAAAGACATTCTGATATACTCACCTGTGAGCAGACTTATATAAATGAAAACTGGCAGTTACAAGGCTATTTACATTTTATTATAAGAGACTTTGACAAATAAAACATATTTTAATATTTTTTCTATTTGGAAAGAAAATTTAAAGACCAGCACTTTGTTTGCATGGGATAGTTCTCATTATTTTCTTTTTTAAATATATTTTTCCATGAGACTAAAAGGCAACACTATTTTTACCTACATTAAACGAGAAATAGCAAGCATTACACCTGAAATCTGTAACAAATAGCACAGCTTTTGAATTTTGAAAAGAGATATCCAAGTTTGCTTTTAATCATCCTTATTTTTGTAAAATTTTCTAGAAGTCAATTTTGTTTTTCCAATTCCACAGTCCTTGAACAATTGAGCAATGTACTGTGAATTTGTAACTGCATTTCTTCATTTTCCAATGCACCAATATACACAAGTTAGACACGGTCCTTAACATTTCTTCTCCAGTGAAATCTAAGCTGAACCACTATCTACAAAATGCTACTGTTATAAGGAGCACTGCACTGTGGAAGGCAGACAAGCATGAAACTAGATTTTTTTCCAGCTCTCATTTATTGGTAAGAAAAATGTCGAGAGAGATAAAAAACTTTCCCATGATATTCAAATTTCTACCTAGCTCTCAACAATTTAGATTATGTTCTAGGTTGATCATTAAAAGTTTATATAATACACACATATATTATATATATTATATAAACTTTTAATTTGCTTTATAATTTGAATTATATACATTTATATAAAAATAATTTGTGTTACAATTAATGTCTTGAATGTTAATCTTCTTTTTATAAATTGCATGAAGTATTCTAGTATTCTACAGCTTAATTTACAAAGCTTTTTTTTTTGTTTTTTTTTTTTTTTTTGGAGACAGGGTCTCTCTCCGTCACTCAGGCTGGAATGCAGTGGCAGGGTCATAGCTCATTGCAACCTCGATTTCCTGGGCTTAAACAGTCCTCTTGCTTCAGCCTGCAAAACTGCTGGGATTACAGTTGAGAGCCACTGCACCGAGCTTGCAATACTTTTCTAAACAATCAGATGCTAGAAAAGTGTAGAGCAATGAATGGCATTACCGAATGTTTCTTCTGCATAAGACACTAAGGCTGTGCAGGAAAAGTTACGAAAAAGATTAACTTGCCCAAAATATATTTGAGCTTTGCTTTCAACCCTGGCAGTTGACCTGTAAGTCTTTGGAGCATCCTTCATGGTAAGAGCTTGTTTACTCGGGGCTTTGGGCCAAGCCAGAGGGGTGTCCAAGTGAGAGAATAGTTTCTTAGTTTTTGTTTCTGGTAAAGCCCCTTCCTCATCTCTCCTTTCTGCTTATCACTAGAAACAGAAACTAAAAACTACGGCTTCAGTCTGCTGAAAGCCTAAAATAAAACAAAACAGAACAAAAATAACAGTAACAACAAAATAAGGTGCGTTGAAAAAGCTTATAACTTGGGCAATACGGTATTAGCTCAAGCTTCCTGGTGCTGTAGTCTATCACATCAGTTATTACTTTAGTGAGACAAGTAAACTCAATACTTAGAAATTGTGTTGATTATAATTAATGAAATAAATGAGTGAAACAAAAACAAAGAGGATGAAGCTAGATAGAGCAAACTATATTATCAGGTTAGTATATTATTTTGATGATAGTATGCTGAAATATTTACAGGAAATATTATTTAGTAAAGTTGAAGTAAAATTCATTATATAAAATAACAATTGTAAATGGAACAATTCAGTGACATTTAGATGACTGCCCCTGTCTAGTTTCAAAGCACATACATCACTCCAAAGTAAAGCCCCCTACCCATTAAGCAATTTCACCCACGTCTCACTTCCTACTTTCCCCAGTTTATAGCAACTTCCAATCTGTGTTCTGTCGCTATGCATGTATATTTTGGATATTTTATATAGATAAAATTATATAATATGTAGCCTTTTGTGTCTGTTTTTTTTCCTCTTAACGTAATGTTTTGGGGATTCATTCACATTGTAGCATGTATAAGTATCTTAATCATTTTTATAGTTGAATAATTCATTGCAAGAATATTCACCTCTGTTTATTCATGTGCTGGTAGATATTTGGTCTGTTTCATCTTTTGGCTGTTGTGAATAGTGCTGCTATGCACATGTACTTGAGTATCTTTTCTCAAATTTTGTGAGATATGTGGAATTGGGAGAATTCTGGAGTCACATGGTAATTCTTTGTTTATCTTTTTGAAGAACCACCAAATTGTTTTTCCCAATGGCTGTGACTGTACCATTTTGCATTCTCTCCGATGATGTGTGTTTTTGTTACAGCCATCCTAGTGGGTATGATGTGGCACCTTACTGTGGTTTTGAATTGTGTTTTCCTAATGGCTAATAATGTCCAGCATCTTTCCATGTGCTTCTTGGCCACTTGTCTGTCTTCTTTGGAGAAATGTCTAATCAGTCCTTTGGCAATTTTTTAACTGGGTCATCAGTCTTTTTTTTACTGAGGTATAAAAATTCCTTATATTCTGAATAATAAATATTTATCAGATATATAATTTGCAAATATCTTTGCCCGTTCTGAAGATTTCCTTCTTATTTTCATGACAATATCCTTTGATATGCAAGTGTTTTAATTTCGATCAAGTCCAATTTATGTAGTTTCATGGTCATTGCTTTTTCTTTTGGTATTATATTTAAGGCCCTAGTACCTAATCTAAGGTCATGAAGATTTACCCATATGCTGACTTCTAAGAGCTGTATGATTTGAACTTTACATTTAGGTCACAAAACTATTTTGAGTAAATTTTTGCATATGCTCTAAGGCGGGAGTCAACTTCATTCTTTTGTATGTGATATACATTTGTCCCAGCATCATTTGTTGAAAAGACTACTATTTCCCATTGACTAGTTTGGCACTGTATTTGAAAATCAAATGGCCATATATACATGTAGGTTTATTTCAGGACCCTCAGTTCTATTCCATTGGTCTGTATGCCTATCCTCATTCCATTACCATATTGTTTTAATCACTGAGCTTCGTAGTAAGTTTGGAAATTGAAAAGTGGGAGTACTCTAACTTCATTCTTTTTTCCAAGATTGTTTGGCTATTCAAGGCTCCTTGTAATTCTCTAAGATTTTGAAGATTAACATGTCAATTTCTACAAAAAAGTCATAGGAGTTTTTATAGAAATTGCATGGAATTTGTAAATCATTTTGGATACTATTGATATCTTAAAAATATTACATCTTCCATTTCATAAACATAGAATATATTTCTATTTATTTCTTTCAGCAATGTTTTGTAATTTATATTGTACAAGTTTTTCATCATTTTGGTTACATTTATCTCTAGTTATTTTATTCTTTTGAATAAAAATTCTTTTGATTATTGTCAATGATATTGTTTTCTTATTTTCCTTTTCACATAGTTCATTGCTGATGATACAAACACAACTGATTTTGGTTTCTTGATCACATACTCAGTAACTTTGCTGAATTAATTTACTACATCTAGTAGTTTTGTGAATTGTTTAGGATTTCCTATATGTAGCATATTATTTTCCTAAGGCTGTCATAACAAAGCACCACAAACTGAATGGCTTAAAGCAGCAAAATAATCGTGTTAGAGTTCTTGAGACTAGAAGCCTAAAACCAGTCTCCACAAGGCCATGCCTTCTCAACACATTGGAAAGGATCTCCCCATCCCTCTTGCTAGCCTCTGGTAGTTGCTAGAAATTATTGGTATGTCTTGGTTTTTGGTAGCATAATTCCAATCCCTGCTTCCAACTTTGAATGCCTGTATTCCCTTCTATATTCCTTTCTTCTTATAAGGATAATGGCCATTGGATTAAGGCCATGCTAATTCAGGATGGCCTCATATTAACAAATTACATCTACAAAGACTATATTTCCAAATAAGGTCACACTCTAATGTTCTGAGTAAACACAAACTTGGGGGGGAAGACATTATTCATTTCAGTAGAGTCTGTCCTTTGGACCCCCAAAATTCACATCCAGCCCATATACAAAATGCATTCACTCCATCCCAACATGACAAAAATGTATAAGCCACTCCAGGGCCAACTCTAAAACCCAAATAGCTAAATATCAAGTTAGGAAAACCCCCATATTTCAACATTTAAATCATCTACATCAAGTGTGGCTGAGACTCTGAATATGGTACATCCTGGGACAAAATTCCTCTCTATTGACAGACTTGTGAAGCTAGAAAACAAGATATGTGCTTCTAAAGTACAACAGTGGGGCAGGCACAGGACAGACATTTCCATTCTGAAGGGGAGAAAGTGGAAGGAATAAAGGTGTTACTGGTCTAAAGCAAGTTTACAGCCCGGCAGGGCCACATCTGTTAGCCTCTAAAATTTGAAGGGAATGCCCTGTAGCTCAGTGTCTGTCCTCTTATCCCCCCAGGACAGTGGCCTTACTCTCTCAGTCTTCCAGGGTGGTGGCTCTGCTGTTTCGGTTCTCCTGGATGACAGCCCTGGTATCTTGCCCACATACGCTTTATCAGCCCTTGCCTCTCACAGAATTCTTCAGCCCTGACTTCTGGAATCCTTGCTTTGCTCTCTGGCCTTTGCATCCATGTCTCTATCCTCAGAGTCATTGTAACTTCATTTTGTCCCATTTCGGTTCCTGTCAGCCCAAGTTGGCAGTGTTTCTGCTGGTACAAAATTCTCAAAACCTTTTCAGGTTTCCATGGATGTCATCTAAATCCTTATTATTCAGACTATATGGGTGCATAGGCTCTAAATCAAATGGTTATAGATATTAACCACATTTGATTGCATATACTTTGTTTATATTATCTTTTGGAGGATCATTAAAATGCAATAAAAATTTTACATCATTATTTAAAAATATACCTTTACAGCAAAACCTAGTGTTTGATTAAATAATTGGGTACTATTGCCTAGCCGAGTTGACACAGTTTAAAACTAACCATCCCAGACAGCATCATATCATCTGCAAAGAGAGATGGTTTTATATCCTCCTAACCAATTTGGATGTTTTTAAATTTCTCTTTATTGTCTAATTTCTCTGGCTAGAACTTCCGGTAAAATGTTGACTAGTAGGCATCCTTGTCCTTTTTCTGATCTTAAAAAGAAAGCTTTCAGTATTCACTAGTGAACAAGATGTTAGCTGGGGGTTTTTAATGAAAGGACTTCATATTTAGAAAGCCTCCTTCTATTCTTTGTTGTCTGAGCCTTTTTTACATGATAAGATGTTAGGTTCTGCCAAATAATTTTTCACTTCAATTGATATGATCATGTATTTTTCCCCTTATGTCCTCTTAGTCACTATATTACACAGTTCGATTCTCTTATGTTGAAACACACTTGCATTCCTGGGATTACCCACTTGGTTATATTGTATAATCTTTTAAATATGTTCTTTGATTTTATTTGTTAGTATTTTGTTAAGGACATTTGAATTTATGTTTATAAGAGATATGGATCTGTAATTTTATTTTCTTTTGCTATAGTTAGCTTAGATATCTAGCCTCAAAGAATTAGTTAGAAAATGTTCCCTCCTCTTTTTGGAAATTATTTTAAAATTTTGGTCAATTTTTCTTTAGATATTTGTTAGAAATCACCAGTTAAGCCTGCTGGTCCATCCTGGACTTTCCTTTCTATTTTTTTAATTGATTTAATCTATTTACATGTTATAGATTTGTTCAGATATTGTATTTCTTCTTGAGTCACTTTTGATAGTTTGTGTGTTCCTAGAAAATTGTTAATTTCATCTAGGATATCTATTTTATGGCATACTTTTATTTCATAGTGTTCATTTATAGTCTTTTTTACTCCTCTAAGGTCAGTAGTAATACATCCACCTTTATTTCAGATTTTAATTCTTTTTCTTTATTTTCTTTGTCAGTTTAGCTAAAGGCTTATAAATTTTGTGGATCTTTTCAAGGAAACAACTTTTGTTTTTCTTGATTCTATTTTTTTTTTCTGTTCTCTATTTTGTCAGCTTTCTCTAAACTTTATTACCTTCTGCTACCTTTAGGTTTAGTTTGTTCCTTTTGCCCACTAGATCCTTAAATTGTACAGTTAGGTTATTCATTTGAGATCTTTCTTCTTTTTAATGCAGGCATTTATGATTCCTTCCGAACACTGCTTTCAAAGCATCTCATAATTTTGTGGCTTTTGTAGTTTGGTATGCAGGAGGGAATGGCGCTCAAGCATCTTTTTTTCTCCCCCTTTGTTCAGTGAGTAGGAGTGAGGGTTACAGTATTACAGGATTTCTTCGGTGCCGCTTCTCCAGCTGGAAATCTCTGCGGCCACCATGACCTCTGTCTGGGCCTCACTTGGGACTGCTGGGCTCACTCCACTGCTTGGTCCAGTAGGCTGTGCTCAGTTTGTGCCCTAGCCTGGCTCCCACGCCTGCAGCAGGACCCTCGCTCAGCCTGTGGCTGGACCAGGCATGCTGTGACCAGCTTGGGCGCCGGCATCTGGGCAAGGGGAATGTGGTGGCACCGGAAAACTCGGAGATGCCAGCAACCGCGGAGCTCCAAAGGGCTGTACAGCTGTCTCCTGGGAAGTTCTGAGGTCTGAGCCCCCGAGAAATGTTACAGCTGTCCCTCATTCTTGCTGCCCACAGCTCAGTGAACTGGGGTGTGTTACAGCTCTTTTGGCACTTGCCATTTGGTAAGTTCTGGGTTCTTGTTCCTCCACCAAGAGGAATAAGGTAGTTGGACACTGGAGAGTAACTAGGAAGGAGAAGAATTTTATTGAGTAACAGAAGGAAAGCTTTCAGCACACAAGGGACCTGAGAGTGGGTAGTCCTCTGCGTGAGAAGCGGCCCAGAAGCAAGTAGCCATCTGTGAGGCTGAGTCTGGGGTTTTTAAGGCCTAGAATGGGGAAGTGCATGCTGAAAGGGCCAGTGGCGGGCCTGAAAGAACACCATTCAATTGGCTAAATGGCATTGAGGAAGTTTTCACTCTGGTCCTGGACTCTACTGGGAACTGGCAGATCCGTTTTCAGGCTTCAAGCTGTCTTTGGCTTTAAGGTCGGGTTTCACTGGGGATCTGTCCCTGTCTGCCTAGGAATTTGTCTGTCTCCTGTTGCTATCAATAAGTTTTGGTATGTTTTCTGTTTGTTTGTTTGTTTGTTTCTATTTTGCTTGAAGTGCTTTCTAATTCCCTTTGACATTTTTTCTTTAACCCATTGTTTTAGTGCTGTGTTTAATTTACTCACATTTGTGAGTTTTGCTCTTTACAAATATTAATTTCTAGCTTTAGTCAGTTGTGCTTGGAGAAGATACTTTGTATAATTTCAATATTTTTAAATTTAATAAATCATGTTTTGTGGACTAACATATAGCATATCTTAGATTATGTTCCGTGTACAGTTGGGAAGAATGTGTATTCTGCCATTGTTGGGTAGAGTATTCTCTTTATGACTGTTAGATCTAGGTAGTTTGTAATGTTCAAGTTCTTTCTTTTCTTATTGACCTTCTGTCTAAATGTTGAATCTCTATTAGGGGTTATTGAAGTTTCCATCTATTATTTTGTTTGCTTTATATGTTTTGGGGTTCTGTTATTTGGTGTATATATGAATAATGGTGTTTTAATTAGTTGGCCCTTTAATTTACTTTGTTTCTTGTAAAGGATTTGGGCTTAAATTCTATGTTGTACATTATTAATTTTGCCACCCCAGCTCTCCTTGATTATGAAACGTATTTTTCCATTCCTTCACTTTCAGCCTATTTGTCTCACGAGATCTAAAGTAAGTCTCTGTAAAGAATATACCAATTGGATGACTTTGTTTGTTTGTTTGTTTTTTGAGATGGAGTCTCATTCTGTCGCCCAGGCTGGAGTGCAGTAGGGTGATCTTGGCTCACTGCAACCTCTGTTGCCCAGGTCCAAGCGATTCTCCTGCCTCAGCATCCCAAGTAGCTGGGATTACAGGCACCTGCCACCAGGCCTGGCTAATTTTTGTAGCTTTTAGTAGAAATGGGGTTTCACCATCTTGGCCAAGCTGGTCTTGAACTCCTGACCTCATGATCCACCCATCTCGGCCTCCCAAAGTTCTGGGATTACAGGTGTGAGCCACTGCGCCCAATCCATTTTGATAATCTCAGCAATTTTATTAGAGAGTTTGGTCTATTTACACTTAAAGTAATAACATATAAGGAAGGATTTACTTCGGACATTTTATTATTTATTTTCAGTGCCTTCTGCCTTTTCATTCCTCAGTGCTTCCACTACATCTTTCTTTCATGTTTAGTTGATATTGTTGTTTTTGTAGTATACTGTTTTTGAGTCCCTTCATCTTTCATTTTGTGTGTATATAATTGTCCATACATATTATATATGTATAATGTTTATTCATTCTTCATTATACATGTACTTACATACACACAAAAATATATATTATATACAGTTATGTGTATAGTATATACACAAAAAAGGAAATGAGAAGATAATATATTATATATGTATACATTTGTAGAAGTGTATGTAAGTAGCTATAGCTAGATAGATAGCTAGATATGTAATAAATAGATAGATATTTTCTTAGTGGCTAACAGGAATTATAATTAACATACTGAATGTATAACAATCTAGTTTTCACTAAAGCCAACTTACCTTCAATGATATACAAATTTCTATTCCTATAGAATTGCTTCTCCCCTTTATTTTTCTTATGTCACAAATTACTTCTTTATACATTATTTGACAGGATATATTTATAATTATTTTTGTTCATTTGCTTTTTAAATCATGTAGAAAATAAAAAGTGGAGTTACAAATTAAAATAACAATAATAGTTGCTTTTATATTTACCAACGTAGTCACCTTCACCTTTTCTTATTCCTTTGTATGATTTTCACTTCTACCTAATATCCTTTTATTTCAAGTGTAAGGGATTCCTTTAGCATTTCTTAGGTCTGTTGGTAACAAACTTCTCTTCTATATATGTGAGAATGTCGTTTTTCCTTAATATCTGTTCATTTTTCTTCATTTCTTTTCTTATTTCTCAGACTGATTAATTGCAGTTGTGCTGTCTTTGAGTTTACTGATTCTCTGTTCTGCCTGCTGAGATCTGCTGTGAAACCCCTGTAATGATTTTCTATTTCATTCAGTGACTGTTCACTTCCTCCTAGCACTGACTCTAGAGATCAGGCAGAGATGCTCTCATTCCTTTTCGGAATGTGCCTCTTGCCCGTAAGCATGCATGTGGTTTTCTAAATTGTGCAGTATATATGGGCACTTTTGAATGCTTTAATTTCATAAAGAAAATTATCTCCCCAGATAGGTAATTTTATACTTTAACTGTAATCTTTTGCATCTGAGAACTACAGGTTTTTCAGTCAACTTACTTGTGTTTGAACAATGCCCACCACTTACTTTTCTGCAGGCAGTTAGTGTCAAGTTGGGGGAAACAGAGATGAGCACCTTTGCATCATCAGTTTCTCTGCCCCTGGACATGTTAGAACAAATAGACACAATAGTGTTTTGGGTTTTTATTTTATTTACTTATTTACTTATTTTAGATAAAGTCTCACTGTGTCTCCCAGGCTGGATGGAGTGCAGTGGTGTGACCTTGGATCACTGCAACTTCTGCCTCCCAGATTCAAGCAATTCTTGTGCCTTAGCCTCTCAAGTAGCACCTGGCACCATGCCTTGCTAAATTTTTGTATTTTTAGTAAAGATGGGATTTTGCCATGTTGGCCAGGCTGGTATGGAACTCCTCTGCTCAGGAAATCCACCAGCCGGGTGCAGTGGCTCACGTCTGCAATCCTAGCACTTTGCAAGGTCGAGTATTTATTTATTTATTTATTATACTTTAAGTTCTGGGGTACAGGTGCGGAACATGCAGGTTTGTTAGTTCTTAAGGACAAGGACAAGAAACAATCATGTATTTCAAGTATGTTATTTCACAATACAAAATCAAACTGTTATTTAAAAGGTCTTAAAATTAAGAAAGTTATTAAAATTTGGACTCATAGTTCTGAAAAGTAAATGGATTGAGTTAGGCTTGTCTTTACAAATAGGTCCCATTCATCCTAAAAATTCTATAAAGTTTTCACTAAACAAAAATTTAACTTTGAAATGTTTATTGTATTTCTGTGAATTACCCCCAGTTTGAGAGCAATTTTGTTGTTTTGCTATTGTATTTGTTTTTTCTGTTGATTCAGCCTCTCTATTTTACTTTTTTTGTTTGTTTGTCTTTGGCTGTTGGTACAAGAGAAAAGGTCTTCTTATTGTCTTTGAGAACAGACTGGAAGACAGAACAAATATTTTCATGCCCATGAGTATTGCAAATGCCACATTACAAAAGTGTCCTCCAACATAACTACAACAAAGAAGAGCACATACCTGTTTATAGCTTATTTCTGAAGAAATATTTGCTATAATAATATACAGTGGTCATACGTGACTTTTAAACATGAATTACGGTAGTCCCTCAATATACATGAGAGTGCCAAAATTCTCCACAGGTACCAAAATCCACTGATATTCAAGTCCCTTATATAAAATAATCTATGTACATATAACCTATGCACATCCTCCACTACATTTTATATTATCTCTAGATTACTTTTAATACCTAATGCAATGTAAATGATGTGTAAATAGCTGTTATATTGTTATTTTTTAGGAAATAATAACAAGTAAAAAGAGTCTGTATATGTTCAGTACAGAAACAATCATACTTGTCCCAAAATTTTCAATTCAGAGTTGGTTGAATCCACACATGCTGAATCCACCGATATGAAAGACTGATTATATTTAATATATACCTAGTGTTTCTAAAGGCAAGATTGGAACAATATTCAGCACATGCAACTCTGTATTGTCCTGTGAATAATCAACAATGATCAAACCACTGCACTCCAGTCTGGGCAAGACAATGAGACCCTATCTCTAAAAAAAAAAAATATGTAAAATAAGCAACAATAAAAATGTGTTGTTAAAGAAGCCACTCTTGTGACTGCTCAAAAGACCCTGAATTAAATAATCATTTATATAAACATGTAATTTCTATGTGTGTTAGGTTCTACAATTTCTATTTCAAAATTACTAATTTACAATTTCTATTTCAAACGGATAAAAGAAAGAGAACACACTCCTCACGGACTGCACTGTGATAGGTCTTTTGGGTGTTTTTCAGTTTAAGTGATTTTGAACTCATTCCAGAATTTGCAGTTCACAGACAATCTGAATTTTTTTAAGTTTCAAACACCATGGTTTCTAATGAAATAGGAATAATAATGTGGCTTTACCTTAAATACTATTATAAGCAATAATAAAATTGCTGAAAGAATTTAATGATGGTTCTACTTATTCCATGAAATGGAATATTGTAATACAGCTTTTAAGTTTTGGTGTCAATCTGAATTCTTATCTAGAGAAGTCATTTCTGTTAACATGTGAATTAACTTTATTTTCCATAATCATCTCAACTAAGAGGGTTTTAATAATTAGAAATAAACACTTTTTCAATTCTTGCTGATTATTATGAAGTATTTTTTTAAACTGCAGATATTTTAGATATTATGTATCATTAAATGTTCTAATTGTGAATCTTCCCAAATGCTGTTTTCATTATATGGTTTTACTGATGTACAAATAAGGGTTGTGAATTTAATTTATTCTAGCACTGGTTCAATTTTCAATTAGTTGCTTGCACTAATTAGATATGACACTAGATTTATTTCTGTTGCTTGTTGTTTTACCTGTTTCTTTTCCTTTAATTCTTAATTTTATCTGCAATTTAGCAGAAAATGTTGACCTATTTTATCTAATTGCTTTGCTTAAATTTCCTTGATTAAGAGATAGGATGTAAATTCACTGTAACTAACATCTTATATTTCTAGCTAGTCATTATGTAATTGTCTCTGAAAACTTAAGGTAAAAACTCACTTCTAGATGAAATCTGTTAGAAATTTTTGACACGTTCCTTATTAATCAACATCTAGACTCCTTCTTTCTCAAGCTTCTCTTTTATCCCCAAGGTCTGTGTCATTTAGTTATTGAAAGTGAATACAAAATTTTCTGTATGGATTTGTCTAAGCAGCTTATCCCTGGTACTAGGGACTTAAGTGTTTCCCTCTCCTCCAGACTTCCTTATATATTCTGAAATGGTTTTTCTCTGTGTGCCTACCCAAATCTTATCTCCAATTATAATTCCCACATGTCAAGGGAGGAGGTGATTGGATCATGGGGGAGGGGGTTCCCCCATGCTGTTCTCATGATAGTGAGTGAGTTCTCCTGAGATCTGATGGTCTCATAAGGCAGTTTTCCTTGTTCTTGCTTGCTCTTCTCTCTCCTGCCATCATGTGAAGAAGGTCCTTGCTTCCCCTTTGCTTTCTGCCATGATTTTAAGTTTCTTGAGGCCTCCCCAGCCATGGGGAACTGTGAGTCAATTAAACCTCTTTCCTTTATAAATTACCCAGTCTTGGGTATTTCTGTATAGTAGTGTGAGAACGAAATAATACATATACATTCACCAAAAGGGAAAAAGAAAGCTTGTTTACTTGTTCTCAATATCACCTAATGGTAAGGTAATATTCTTTTATGCTTCAGAAGTTGATATTAATCTCACCTATTGGGAAGCTAAGCACAATAATTAAAAAATACACTGCTGATTGTCTCTGCTTATGTAAAGAAAACAGTGTCCTTGCTTAAATGGTGTATTGCGATGGGGCTATGATCGTTCAGAAAGTCATGAATGCTTAATTCTGTACCAAGCCCAGTGGAACCAGTTAGTTGAAACTGACTCTTTGCATATGTGACCTAATCTCTGCCTTATTATCAGAATCCCAGAACCATGCAAATGGGGACAGCACAGCAACCCTGCAGATTCAGCCAATTATTCCCAAACAGATCATCCAACTGTCTAAAAAATACCAACTTTTGTAATAGCTTGATCTCATTGCTCCTCTGTATAGATCAGGTACTTTCTACAAAAAAAAAAAAAAGAAAGAAAAGAAAATGTTTCTATAACTGTGTTTGTCTCTTCTTGCATTGCTATAAAGAAATACCTAAGACTGGGTGACTTATAAAGAAAAGAGTTTTAACTGAGTCACAGTTCTGTAGGCTGTACAGGAAGCATGATGCTAGCATCCGCTCGGCTTCTGGGGAGGCCTCAGGAAACTTGCAATCATGACAGAAGGTGAAGAGGGAGCAGGCACATCACATGGCCACAGAGGAGCAGAAGAGAATGAGTGGGGAGGTGCCACACACTTTTAAACAACCATATCTTGTGAGAGCTCACTCACTATTGTGAGAACAGCACCAAGGGAATAGTACTAAACCATTCATGAAAAATCCACTCCTCTGATGCAGTCACTTTCCATAAGGCCCCATCTCTAACACTGGGGATTAAAATAAAACATGAAATTTAGGTAGGGCACATATCCAAACTATATCAATAACTGAAGGAAGAAAACAGGCTATAGTGGCCTACTTCCAACTTCTTCAGTATGTCGATTCTTCTAATAATAGGACATGATAAATTTATTGCAATTAAGTGCCAGTTATCATGAAGATCTCTGAGAATAATTTTTAAAGGCTTCCTCTATCTTTAGCAGGATGGGATTTTTATTCCAATCTCCCTATTTCTGCTTCTTTCCTTAGAAAGGACAAATTTGCTTTCCACCTGCTGTAATCCTGGCCAATACCAAGTTTGAGAAAACAAAGCAAATTGGCAGAGGTTCTGTAATCATAACAATGAGGATTATGCTATGAGGGACAGACATTATCAGAATAAGCAAGAGAAAAGTGTGTTGGTCTTCTAGACTTTTATTCTCTTACTCTTAACTGCATCTCAAGAAGCCACTTTTTAATCCCAGCTTTCTTTATTTACTTCTAAAGATTACATGGACTGTATGTAGAAAAGGCTACATTATCGGCTCACACCCACATCCTATGAACAAATCCATCCAGGTGGGAATGTGATCCCATGCTAAGATATTACTATGAGACCTATGATTCTGAATATTTTACTTTATTTCAGAAATAAGAAATGAAAGTAATTTTTTCTCCAGAAAGTATCGTATCATTAAATATTTATAGAGTAAATAGATAAATGAATGAATGAATGTTGCATCATTTACTCTTCCACTGATAATTTCTTGTATTAATTCAAACAACATATTTCATACTTGCCAAAAAAGCAGGAAGTTCTTAGGAATAATTAATACAAGATTTTAGCACCACAGCTCTGCATGAAGAGTGAGAGTTAATAATTGCTCCAATTTCTTTAAAAGCTGAAATTTCAATATTATAGTGGTATGACTACTTTATATCTTTCATTTTGTCCTTGAAAGAACAGAATGCTAATATTCCAATGTTAATCTCTTGATCAAAATTAGTATTGATATATGAAACTGTGCTAGATCTTTGACTTGAGTGATAAAAAGCTAATTTTCTGCTGTTCAATATTTATCATTTTTCAAATATATGTTTATTATATGAAAAACATAATTTCAGATAAGAGATATTTTAAAATAAAGAAAAATTTAAAATGTTTTTTTTTAAACACAAAAACTTTATGTCTCTCATCATTATTAGAAACTGCCGTGTCTCATCTTCACAAGGTGCTTAGGGAAATGAGTCTATTCATAACACTTAGTGATTTATTTTAGTTTAATGAACAGGACCTGAATCTAAACATTAATATTGTATTCTTTAAAAGTAAAACACAGTGCCTATCTGGTACTATATTGATTTAATTTTTCAGTTCGTACATTATAATTTAATGCATCACTTGTTTATGTCTTCTTTCTCCTACTAAGTTATTGTAAAGTGTTAAGTGATTAACAAAAGACAGAACACCATTTAATGACGTGATAAAGTAAAAGTTATAGAGAACATGAGGACAAGGCAAATCCTTGAAGAAGAGGATTTAGATAGGGGAAAAAAGCCATTATTTAGAATTCCAGGCAGAGGACAATAGTGCATGCAATGTATACCACTGTGCAAAGTTTTACATAAAAATCAGCAGAGTTTTTTTTTTATTATTCATTCATTTATCTATACACCAACCATTCAACAGGCATTCACAGAATTCATACTATGTTCTAAGCACTGTGCTAAGTCTTTGGGATACAGAATAAAATAATACACTGTTATCTACAGTTGTCTCCAAACAATTCCACTGTGGGTATGACATATGTGTAACATATTTAATATAAAACTGCATTATGCATTAAATCCTTACAGACTATAGGAATTCATCCATAATGCAGGCTAGTGTTGAACAGATGCTGTAAACAAATGATGCAAAGTTAAGTGAGGAAGCACTGACAACACTTGTGACTTACTGAGCCATTTAAAATGAGCAATGAGCCAAAGCAGAAGTCCTACAGAGAAATAATCAATAATGAATACATTATCATGCATGTTTCCCTAAGACAAGGGTAATAATCATGTGACATTCACTTTTGTGACTAAATAATTTACAGAGCCCTTTCCCCCCTCCTTATGGACTCTATCATACCTATTTCTGGTACAAAATAGAGAGATCTCAATTGCTATTAACACCATAACTCTATTAGACTTTAGCTGCTCAGTGCATTTTTCAGAATCCATCAGCTCATTTAAACCTTCAGAGGGAAAATTGCAATTGAGCATGAATTTTACATTAAAGCAATACTGCACTGAGTAAAAGCAATGTGGCATTTCACTAGTTCATCCATTGTGCTGTATCTTGAAAACTTACAATGGATAAATAAGCAAATACCTTGTCTTCTCTCCAACCTGAGTTTCCTATCCCTAATAGACCAGTAACATAATTTTTGTATATTGTTAAAGGAATTATTTTATACCCTCTTAAAATGCACCATTTGAAATGTTATCATATATTTTTATCCTGATATCCTTGATTTTTACTACTCAGTATTGTCTTTCTCTAGTATTTTCTTAATACTACTCAGTAGGAAAGTTACATCTATTCAATAAATGGTGGTGTCATAAAATTCAACTGCATTCATTAGGTGAAAAAACTAAAATAAAAAGAAAATAATATTGCAGCTTATTCTGGCCACCTTGTTACTCACAGGGATTTTCTCTTGTGTTAACCAATAAATGAAAAATGTAAGTCCAGTATCCCTCAGAGAGACTAAGTTCCCTTATGCCTTTTACAAATTGATAACCAAATCTAGTTAGTCGTATATCTTAGTGATTAAAGAAATATATGTGTGTATTTTAAATTCTGAAACTATTAATAATTGTCGAAGTCGGTTTATGAGTACATTGGGCTTCACTGTATTATTCTCTGAATAACCATATAGGTTTGAAATTTTCTATGCTTCAAATTAAAATATAGAATAAAAATATACACATGCTCACATGGTCCTCAAAATCAATGATTATTATTTCAAAATTTGGAGAAAAACAAAATATTTTAATACTACATGTGCCCTAAAACAAATCATCCATGTCATTTATTTGCATCTTGGAAAAATATGATATGTTCCATGGTTGACGTAAATAGCTGCCTTAGTCATTTTTTATGTATCAATTTGGTTAGGCTGTAGTGTTCATTTATTCTATAAATCACAAATCTTAGGACTAGCTGTATAAATATTTTGTAGATATGATTAATATCTATAATACATTGACTTGATAAAGGAGATTATAACAGATAATCTGGGAAAAGACCTGATTTCATCAGTTGAGTCATTTAGGAACAGTAATGAAGCTTCCCTGAAAAAGAAGAAATTCTGCCTGTATATTGCCATCAGCTCATCCACAAGTTTCAACCTGGACTTCCTCATGGCCCACTACACAGATTTTGGAGCTTGCTAGCTGGTTCCCACATAAGTAAACCAATTCATATATATATATGTGTATATATATATATATATATATATATATGTGTGTATATATATATGTGTATATATATATATATATACACATATATATATACACACACACACACACACACACACGCATATACACACACAATATATTCACATAGCCGAGACTGTGTTTTGCATGAAATTAGACTGTAAAGTGTCATACGGGCTATCATCAAACACTTTTAAATCATGCAACATTTCTTTGACATTTCCTTAAATCTGCCATGCATAGCATACAAGTTTTTTTGTATACAAACGATTTCCACAGTTTAAGTGCATGATGAAATTTAATAATCATCAAGCTACAAAATGAAAAGAAAGAAAGATCTAGCAACAGAAATCTGAATTTTCAAAATATTTAACTTTTAAGGTAACTTTTTCTAATCTTTAATAGTGACTAGGTGATATATAGGTAATTACAAATTTATATACAGGGCTTATGTTTATACCATTGTGTATTAATATTAAGTACCTTTACGCTTAATACGATGACCAAACAAGGACTCATCTTGTTGGGGCAGAAGGAGGAAAAAATATCTGATGTTATCAACAAATGATGAAAATTTTCATGACTTGATCTCACTCTACCTCCCTATTTGACTGATTATAAGAAATGAAATATCAACCTCACTTTACTTTAGCACTTTAATTCCTGGGGATGAAACTCATCATGGTTCACTCCTCCCTGCCCAATTTCAAAGAGAAATTGGGCAGGGAGGAGTGAACCATGATGAGGATATATGATATATGATATCATATATCATATATGATATATCTCTAAGTACCTGTAGGCCAACACACTCCTTTCTTCTAACTCGGCACTGGTTATTGTAGACTCAAGAAAAAGAAGTCATTTGTTCTGTTGGCCATTGATTTCACTCTATCTAGGCAATTTTCCATCATTTTCTCTTGGGACTTACTCTACAATATGCTTCCAAACTCTGGACAAGACAAGGATAAGTCGCATTACCTTTTATTCCTCATTAGCTTTAACAACTACATAGCTAGTACTTACACAAACACCGTCTTACCTGCTGTTCTGTTCCTCACTATATTGCCTTCCTGCTGTTTTTACAGGTGGCATTTAAGTAGTGCTAATCTGAGGTATATCATCGTTACTACATCATTGTCACAGACTTGTTAGCACAAATCTGGGAGCAAAAGCTACCTTGAAAAAAATTACAATAAAAATACTGAGAGTTTATATACCACAAACTAAAAAAAAAAAAACTACCAACCTTTATGACTACCAACATTTTCCAAAACTTTGGAAAGAAATTACTATTGTCTTGTTTTTACTTGCATTATTTTGCTGATAAACAGTTTCATGCAAAATTGAACACATTTGTTAATACAGTAAAATTCTCTTTTTTTTGTTTCTTTATAGAGTATGCCTCCATCATAACTAAAATAGTTATGATGATGCTTTGCTCCACTTTCATATAATATTTGTAGGTAGCTGTTTAAATTTCTGCCACTGTTTAGTGGTAACCTATAAGAGTTACCTATTGTTGAAAAAAAAGTAAGGTGTCTTTTTTTAGGGTCACAGTCAAAGCATGAAATCAGACATTTAATTTGTAAGTAAATAGAACCAGATGCAAAGTAAAATGGAGATCAGTCTTAAAAAATAAGAAAAAGAAGAAGAAAAGAACAACAAAACAAATACAGTAAAAGAAAATCCTGAGGTTTTGGCCTAGATAGCTGACTAGAAGCTGCTAGCATGCACCTCTGTAACGGAGAGAAATGGAAGGGGTGAGTAAATACAGCACCTTCAACTGAAACACCCAGGTGCATGCACTGAGTCTCATCCAGGAAACAACTCGACCCGCAGAGAAAGTAATAAAGCAAGGCAGGATGACAGCCCACTTGGGAGTGACACAGCTCCAGAGGAGCCCAGGAAAGCAATGACTGAGTGAGCAACACGCTTCTCCCAAGGATCTTTGCAACTCTTGGGTCAGGAGACTCCCCTCATGAACCCACTCAGCCAGGGCCTTCAGTCTGACATGCAGAGCTATGTGGAGTCTCCACAGAGCAGCCACTCAGGCACACGTGGAACTCAGGGAGCCTTAGTTACCCAAGCTTCCTGGTATAAGTGACTGCAACTCCTGCAAAGTGGGAGGTTGGACCCCCATACATACCCCCAGGAAAAGGGCTTAATCCAGAAAGCTGAGCAGCAATGGTCTGTAGGTCCCACTTCCAAAACCCCTTGCAGGATAAGACCCACAGCCACCAGTAGCAGCGTTGCAACTCCCTGAGATAGAGCTCTCAGAGGGAGGGGTAGACCACCATCTTTGCTGTTCCACAGCCTTAGCTGTTTTTGCCTTTGGGCTCTAGGGAGTCCCAGGCAACTAGATACTGGAGGGGTCCCCCAGTACAGTTTATAACTCTGTGAAGAAGTGGCCAGAATGCTTATTTAAATGGAATACAGATCTCATTTCTCTTAACTGTGTGGAATCTCCAGACCAGGGTCTACAGTCACCCCTGCTAGTGTTTTTCACTGAGGGCAGTTCTAACCTCCTTGGGATGGAGTTCCCAGAGGGAGGGTTGGGCTGCCATTTTTGCTGTTTCACAGCCTTAGCCATTCTTGCCTTTGGGCTTTGGAGAATCTGAGGCAACTAGGGGATAGAATGGACCCCCAGCACAGCCTATCTGCTCTACAAAAGAAGCAGCCAAGGCTGGGTGCGGTGGCTCATGCCTGTAATGCCAGCACTTTGGGAGGCCGAGGCAGGCAGATCATGAAGTCAGGAGTTCGAGACCAGTCTGACCAACATGGTTTGAAACCAGTCTGACCGACATGATTCAAAACCAGCCTGACATGGTGAAACCCTGTCTCTACTAAAAATACAAAATTAGCTGGACGTGGTGGCGTGTGCCTGTAATCCCAGCTACTCAGGAAGATGAAGCAGGAGAATCACTTGAACCTGGGAGGTGGAGGTTGCAGTGAGCCGAGATCGTGCCATTGCACTCCAGCCTGGGCAATAGAGAGACTCTGTCTCTAAATAAATAAATAAATAAAACAAAATAAAATAAAATAAAATAAAAATAAATCAGTCAGACTGCTTTCTTAACATGGGTCACTGATCCCATTCCTCCTCACTGGGCAGGACCTCCTCAGGGGTTTCCAGCTACCCTGCTGGTGTTTTCTGGCCAGCAACAGTTCCAAACCGCCCTGTGAAGGAGCTCTCAGAGGGAAGGGTGGACCACCATCTTTGCTGTTTAGCAGCCTTAGCTGGTGTTGCCTTCAATGTTTAGAGAGTGGGAAGTGACCAGGGCTGGAGCGGACCCCCAGCAAAGCACAGCTACCCTATGGAAAAATGGCCAAACTGCTTTTTTATGTGGGTCTCCAAACCTGTTGCTCCTCACTGGGTGGGATCTTCTTACTGGGGTCTCCAGCCACTTCCTGCAGGTGTATTAGGGCTGGCAACAGGCCTGTACCTCCTTGTGATGGTGCTCCCAGAGGAAGGGGCAGGCTGCCATCTTTGCTATTTCACAGCCTTCACTGTTGCTTCCTTCAGGTTCTAGAACATTTGAGGTGACTAGGGACTAGAGTGGACACCTGGCACACTGCAGCAGCCCTAAGCGGCCAGACTGTTTGTTATGTGGGCCTCCAATCCCATATCTCCTTACTGGGCAGGTCTTTCAGGCCTGGGTCTCTAGAAACTCCCCATCAGCTCTGCAACTCCCTGGAACAGAACTTGCAGTGGTAGGGGCAGGTTGCTATCTTTGCTGTCTTGCAGCCCTTGACCTTGCTATCTCCAGACTGGATAGTCTGTGGGGCCCAGAGCAGGTCCAGATCTCCAGCATGGAGCAACTATGTGTTAGTACATTTTCACACTGCTGGTGAAGACATACGCGAGACTGGGTAATTTATAAAGGAAAAGAGGTTTAATGGACTCACAGTTCCACATGGCTGAGGAGGCCTCACAATCATGGCAGAAGGCAAAAGCCACATCTTACATGGCAGCAGGCACAGACAGAATGAGAAGCAAGTGAAAGGGAAACCCCTTGTGAAACCATCAGACCTCCTGAGACTTATTCACTACCATGAGAAAAATATGGGGGAACCGCCCCCATGATTAAATTTCCTCCCACTACTTCTTTCCCATAACACATCAGACTCATGGGAGCTAAAATTCAAGATGAGATTTGGGTGAGGACAGAGCCAAAGCACGGCATTCTGCCCCTGGCCCTTTCCAAATCTTATGTCCTCACATTTCAAAACTAATCATGCTTTCCCAACAGTCTCCCAAAGTCTTAACTCATTTTAGCATTAACTCAAAAGTCCACAGTCAACAGTCTCATCTGAGACAAGGCAAGTCCCATCTGCCTATGAGCCTGTAAAATTGAAAGCAAGTTGGTTACTTTCTAGATACAATTGGGGTACAGGTATTGGGTAAATACAGCCATTCCAAATAAGAGAAATCAGAAAAAACCCCCCCCCCCCAAAAAAAAAAAACAAAAAACAAGGAGCTACAGGCCCCATGGAAGTCCAAAATTTAGTGGGGCAGTCAAATTTTAAAACCCCAAACTGATCTCATTTGACTCCATGTCTCTTATCCAGGTCATGCTGATGCAAGAAGTGGATTCCCATGGTCTAGGGCAGCTTTGCTTCTGTGACTTTACAGGGTTACAGCCTCCCTCTCTGCTGTTTTCACAGGCTGACATTGAGTGTCTGTGGTTTTTCCAGGTGCACGGTGCAAGCTGTCAGTGGAATCTATCATTCTGGGTTCTAGAGGACAGAGGCCCTCTTCTCATAGTTCCACTAGGCAATGCCCCAGTGGGAACTCTGTGTGGGAATTTCAACCCCACATTTCCCTTCCTCACTGCCCTAGAAGAGGTTCTTAATGAGGGCTCTGCCCCTACAGCCCACCTCTGCCTAGACATACAGGCATTTCCATACATCATCTGAGATTTAGGTGGAGGTTACCAAACCTCAATTCTTGACTTCTGTGCACCCGCAGGCTCAGCATCATGTGGAAGCTGCCAACGCTTGGGGCTTGCATCCTTGTGCCCTCTGAAGCCATGGCTCAAGCTGTACCTTAGCCTCTTTTAGCCATGACCAGAGTGGCTGGGACTCAAGGCATCAAGTTCCTAGGTTGTACACAGCAGGGGGGCCCTGGGCCCAACCCATTTTCTCCTAGGCCTCTGGGCCTGGATGGTAGGGGCTGCCACAAAGGTCTCTGACCTGCCCTAGAGACATTTTCCCCCTTGTCTTGGTGATTAACATTTGGCTCCTGGTTGCTTATGCAAATTTCTGCAGCAGGCTTCAATTTCTCCTCAGAACATGGGTTTTTCTTTTCTATCTCATTGCAGGCTGCAAACTTTTTGAATTTTTATCCTGCTTTCCTTTTAAAACTGAATGCTTTTAATAGCACCCAGGTCACCTCTTGAATGCTTTGATGCTTAGAAATTTCTTCCACCAGATACCCTAAATCATCTCCTTCAAGTTCAAAGTTCCACATATCTCTAGGGCAGGGGCAAAATGCCACCAGTCTCTTTGCTAAAACATAGCAAGATTTACCTTTACTCCAGTTCCCAACAACTTCCTTATCTCCTTCAGAGACCACCTCAGCCTGGATTTCATTGTCTATATCATTATCAGCATTTTGGTCACAGCCATTCAACAAGTCCCTAAGAAGTTCCAAACTTTCCCACATTTTCCTTTCTTTTTCTGAGCCCTCCAAAATGTTCCAAAATGCTTGTTACTGCTTCCACATTTTTGGTTATATTTACAGCAATGCCCCACTCTCCCAGTACCAATTGACTGTATTCACACTGCTGACGTTAAATTCACAACTTGCCATTTTCACACTGCTGATGAAGACATACCTGAGACTGAGTAATTTATAAAGGAAAAGAGGTTTAATGGACTTATGGTTCCATGTGGCTGATGAGGGCTCACAATCATGGCAGAAGGTGAAAGGTAGGTCTTACATGGCAGCAGGCAAAGAGAGAATGAGAATCAAGTGAAAAGGGAAACCCTTATAAAACCATCAGATCTCATGAGACTTATTCACTACCATGAGAACAGCATGAGGGAAACCACCCCCATGATTCAATTATCACCCACCTAGTCCCTCCCTCAACACATGGGAATTATGGGAGTTACAATTCAAGATGAGATTTGGAGGGGATACAGCCAAACCATATCAAAATACTTAATGGAAAAGGGCCAGACTGTTCTTCACACAGGTTCTGGTCCTCACTTCTCACTGGGCAGAACCATGTGACCTGAGACTCCAGCACAACCACCCTCCCACTGCCTGATCACTCCATTCAGAGGCAGCCCAACATTTCTCCATGGATAAAATTCAAGAGTCAACACACAACCCCTCCACCACTGCAGTTGCAGTGGTACCACCCTAAAAACCTTACATCAGGGAAGGAAGAAGGAGCCTAGTCACTATGCCAGTACCTGTGTTACCAGGGGTCCTTGCTCCCAGAGCAACCAAGATGGTGGTGGGCCACTTCCAATATGGCAGTGGGCCACTTCCAATATGGCAGTGGGCCACTTCCAAGATGGTGGCAAGCCTCGTGTTCTCTGACCTGGGGTTCTTGGCCTCACGGATTCCAAGGAATGGAATCTTGGGCCATGGGGTGAGTGTTATAGCTCTATTAGAAGTCGTGGGTCATGGAAGAGAACCATGGAACCCAGTGACTAGCGTTCAGCTCGATTAGGACGAACCCAGGCATTTAGCTCTGCGGGAACAATGGCAAGCCTTTAGCACGATCGGGAGTGACAATGGGAGTCTCATTGGATCAGGAGCACAGGAGACACCCTGCTGGATCTGGAGGGATGGGAGTCAGCGGCAGGATGGGAGTCAGCGGCAGGATGGGAGTCAGCAGCGGGTCTGCGACAGTGGCAAACAGCAGTGGTGGACGGCAAGTGAAAGCTCAGCTCGAGCCGTAACAAACGGACCAGAAGAGTGCAGTTGCAAGTTTTAATAGAGTGAAACAGAGTGAAAACAGAGCTCCCATACAAAGGGAGGGGACCCAAAGGGGGTTGCCATTGCCTGTTCGAATGCCTGGGTTTATATCCCGATCCTTGTCCCTCCCGCTGTGCTCTCAGGCAATAGATGATTGGCTATTTCTTTACCTCCTGTTTTTGCCTAATTAGCATTTTAGTGAGCTCTCTGATTGGTCGGGTGTGAGCTAAGTTGCAAGCCCTGTGTTTAAAGGTGGATGCGGTCACCTTCCCAGCTAGGCTTAGGGATTCTTAGTTGGCCTGGGAAATCCAGCTATTCCTGTCTCTCACCTGCAGTACACCATAGCCACCATACAAGGAGGAATCCAGCCCCTCTTCCTGGGGAAACCCCAACTGCCCACTCTTCACCAGGCAGGGACCCTGGCTCATGACTGTGGAACAGTCACCCTCCCCGTGGCTGCATAAACCCACTGGTAGTGATGCAGAGTTTCCCTGAGGAGAAGTCCCCAGAGGCATACAACAGTCCCTCTTCCATTGTCAGAGCAGCATTTCTATCCCTGCTGTCCTCAGTCTGGGGAAGAAATAAAGAGCCTGAGGGCTACACTTGAGCTTACAGCTTGCCACAGTCACCATATGAAGAGGTGACCAGTGTCTCCTTCTGGTAAGCCCTCCACTTCCTGATCCCCAACAAGGGAAGCCTCAAGTTCATTCCAGCAGTGTCGTCGCCCCACCCCACTGGCCGAATACTCCCGGTAACAGTGGCTCCATATTTCTCAGAGGTAGAGGCCCAGGGGCAACTGAAAACCTCTTTGTCACTGCCTCTGCCATGGGACTAACCCTGCTACCTTCAGACTAACAAAGGAACAAATACCCTGAATGCCTCATCCACACCTCCAAAAAGCTGTAGTCAACCCAAGCTGAGGAGGCCAATCTGTCTCTCCTGAGTCTTATCCTCACACTCTCTGCTCATTGCCAGGCATTAAACCCCTGGATTGGACCCAAAACACTGACTCCCTCATCCTGGGCTGATCACACTGAGCAACTGCTGACCTGCATCTCTCTGAGGTGAAGCCTCAAGGAGACAAGTAAAAGACCAGAGGATATAACCTTTGCTCAGGTCCCTCCTCTGCTGCCTCCAAGTTGAAGAAGAAACATAAACTGTGAGATCACCTCAGAGCTTCAGTGAGCAGTCTGGGAGTGCCAAGCCACAATCTTCAGCCTAATACTGAAATGGGAGAGGAGAACACAATTTCAGAGCATTGAGAGGGAGCAAGACTGCAACCATTAGGAAATATAGGGTAGCCAAATGACTGAGCACGAGCCTACAAACTGACCGCTGTACCTAAGCACCACATACTGGATCACACCCCAAATCTTCAACACCAAAAATACCTGACTAACATATGCCCTTGTGAAACCAAAGACAAGTAGTCAACTACAAATAAAGACCAACCCTGCACAAAGCTTCAGCCCTGTGAATACAACCAGAAAAGAAGTCTACTGACTGTAATCAAGCTACACTGCAGTTAAAGGCATACTCACACACAGAGATGAGAAAAAACCAACACAAGGACTCTGGTAACTCAAATGGCCAGAGTGTCTTATGTCCTCCAAACAATCACAGTATTTCTCCAACAAAGATTCTTAACCATTTTGAGTTGACCGAAATGACAGAAATAGAATTCAGACTATGGATAGGAACAAAAATTACTGAGATTCAGGAGAATGGCAAAACCCAATCCAAGGAAACTAAGAATCACAATAAAATGATACAGGAGCTGAAAGACAAAATGGCTGGTGTAAAAAGAAATCTAACTGATCTGATAGAGCTGCAAAACACCCTGCAAGAATTTCACAATGTAACTGCAAGTATTAACAGCAGAAAAGACCATGCTGAGGAAAGAATCTCAGAACTTGAAGACTGAAATAAGACAGTCAGACAAAAAAATAAAGAAAAGAATGAAAATGAATGATCTAAACCTCCAAGAAATATGGGCTTATGTAAAGAGGCCAAATCTATTAATCATTGGCATCCCTGAAAGAGATGTAAAGAAAGAAAACAACTTGGAAAACATATTACAGGATATTGTCCATGAAAACTTCTCAACCTCTGTAGAGAGGCAAACAGTAAAATTTCAGAAATACAGAGAACCCCTGCAAGACTGTACAAAAGAAGATCATCCCCAAGGTAAATAATCATCAGATTTTCCAAGGCAGAAGCAAAAGAAAGAATGTTAAGGGCAGGTAGAAAAAAAGGGCAGGTCACCTTCAAAATGAACCCCATCAGGCTAAGAGTGGACCTCTCAGCAGAAACCCTACAAGCCAGAAGTGACTGTGAGTCTATATTCAACATACTTCAATTAAAATATCAACCAAGAATTTAATATCTGGCCAAATTAAGCTCCTAAGTGAAGGAAAAATGAGATTTTTTTCAGATAAGCAAATGCTGATGGACATTGTTACCATGAGATTCATCTTATAAGAGATCTTGAAAGGAGCACTAAAATGTGGAAAGCAAAGATCATTACTAGCCAATACAGAAACACACCTAAGTACACAGAGCAGTGACACTATAATGCAGCCACATAAACAAGACAGCTTAATAAGCAGCTAATAATACAATGGTAGAATCAAATCCACACATATCAATACTAACCTTGAATGTAAATGGGCTAAATACCCCCTTTAAAAGAGAGTGGCAAGTTGGATAAACAAGCAAGACCAAATGGTGTGCTGTCTTCAAGAGATCCAACTCACACACAATGACACACATAGGCTCAAAATAAAGGGATGGAGGAAAATTTACCAAGAAAATGGAAATCAGAAAAAAAGCAAGGGTTATGGTCCTAATTATAGACAAAACAGAGTTTAAACCAACAAAAATTAAAAAAAAGACAAAGTAGAGTACTACATAATGATAAAGGATTCGATTCAACAAGAAGACTTAACTATCCAAATATACATGCACCCCACACAGAAGCACATACATTTATAAAGCAAGGTCTTAGAGACATACAAAGAGACGTAGACTCCCACGCAATAAGAATGGGAGTCTTCAACACTCCACTGACAATATTAGATGGATCATCGAGGCAGAAAATTGACCAAGAAATTCAGGACTTGAATTCAACATTGGGCCAAACGGATCTGATAGACCTCTGCAGACTCACCATCCCAAAACAACAGAATGTGGATTCTTGTCTTCACCACATGGCACATACTCTACAATTAACTACACAATTGGACATAAAACATTTCTCAGCAAATGCAAAGAACTGAAATTATATCAAACACACTCTCAGACCACAGCAAGATAAAAATAGAAATCAAGACAAGAAAATCACTCAAAACCATGCAATTATATGGAGATTAAACAACATGATCCTGAATGGCTTTGGAGTACATAATAAAATTAGGGTAGAAATTAGAAAGTTCTTTTAATCTAATGAAAACAAAGATACAACATACCAGAATCTCTGGGACACAGCTACGCAGTGTTAAGAGAACAATATATAGGAATAAATTCCCACATCAAAACATTAGAAAGATCTCAAATTAACATCCTGACATCACAACGAAAGGAGCTACAAAAAGCAAGATAAAACCAACTCCAAATCTAGCAGAAGACACGAAATAAAATCAGAGCTGAACTCAAGATCAGGTCAAGACACAAAAATAATTTCAAAAGATCAGGGAACCCAGGAGTTTTTTTTTTTTTTTTTTTTTTTTGGAAAAAAATTTAACAAGATAGATAGGCTGCCAGCTAGATTAATAAAGAAGAAAAGACAGAAGATCCAAATAAACACAATCAGAAATGCCAAGGGGGATATTTCCACTAACCCCACAGAAATACAAACAACCATCAGAGACTACTATGAACATTTCTATGCACACAAACTAGACAACTTGGAAGTGCTGAATTAATTCCTGGACTCATCCACCCTCCCAAGACTGAACCAGAGAGAAACTCATTCCCTGTACAGATCAATAATAAACTCCAAAACTGAATCAGTAATAAGTATCCTACCAACCAAAAAAAAAAAAAGCCCAGGACCAGATGTATTCACAGCCAAATTCTACCAGATGTATAAGGATGAGCTGATACCATTCCTACTGAAACTATTCCAAAAAGTTGAGGCAGAGTGACTCCCTGCCAACTAATTTTATGAGGCCAGCATCATCCTGATACCAAAATCTGGCAATTTAAATCAATCAACTTAGCTTCCCTAGTAGGTAAAACACTTTGGTATTGTTTGCTGTGATTAGAAATTTAGATTGTATCCCTTGCAGTCTGAATGATTCATCAGTTTTGCTTTTGTACCTCATGGTAAATATGACACTACTCACCTGCTCTTATCAGAGAAAAATACTGTTTGATCCTTTATTTTAAATTATTTCTTGACAATATTTTTAAAGATGATTAAAATTTGTGCAAAACTTGTCATTACTAAATTGGCCTAAGTAAAAATTACTGTGGCAAGACAGAAAATGATTGAGATTAAATGGGCATATTAAAAATTCCAGATTCTTCATTTTCATTTTTTTCCAGGCAAGCCTGGCTGATGTTAAACTCTAATTTGGAGGGAAAAAAAGAAGAAGCAAATGCTGTCACTGCTAGTTAATGGATGTCATTTCATTCTATTGAAAATTATTTTATATGTAACTAGAAATGAGCCTTTTGTCTTTGAGTGTGAGAAAAACAATAACCCCCCAATTGTTTCTGCTGGCATTCTGCCACTTAAAATAAGACCCTATCAAATCTCCATAGTCACTGTCAAACTTTCTCCTCTCCTGCCCCCATTATCTCCAAAAAATCAAGTGCATTTCTTTTTCCTTGCTGGAAGGAAGGAACATGCCATTTTTAGTGTCTGAGTTGGTACCTCAGAGAACAATCAATTATTGATTGTGTGAGATTTTATAAATAAAGCCAAATGTAGGCAGGTAATTAATCATTCATTTCTGGCTCACCTTGAGAGAACAGTACAATGATAATAAAAGCAAACCATTGTCTGTGTTTCCTGTTCATTCTGTGCATGTTCAGCAAATGCATGCTCTCTACAGTTCATGTGGATTCTTGGACTGTCAGCTGAGCCATTTGGTGTGGAAAATCACCCAGAAAGAGAGAAATAATGTCCTGTGAATACCTACTATGTGTCAGGAACTGTGTAACTACACGGATTGCCATATCTACTTCCTTTTACTTAAAATGAGTCTAATATGACCAGCTTCCAATCCTGATTGCATGACCTCCTGTTTCACCTTGGGCAAGTTGTTAAACCTCTTTTTGATTCAGTTTCCTTCTGTCCTCCCATCCAAAACCATTTCATTATGAAACTATTTTATAAGATTGTTATAATAAAACACAGACACACACACAGACATGCATACACACACACACACACGTGCACACACACACACACACACACACTTTACCAGTCAAGGTTCTACCAGACAAGCAGAAGCAGTAAGGGAGGATATTTACATACATGTTTGTAGTAAGAAATATTACATTTGCACTAACATAATTAACTGCGCCTTACACAATTTAAGAAGCTAATTAAGCAGTCCCTGCAAGGCTGTCTTCTGCAAGTCTGATGCTGGAGCTCTGAGTCCACAAGGCAGGCAGTCACAAAGGGAAGATGGATGTGAAGTGGGTCAGATCAAGGGCAGGCTGGAACTCACGTACATAATCTAAAACTCCACTGAAGCCAGTAGCTGCTTTTGTTGTCCCTGACCTTGGCAGTAAAGGCAGACTTCGGGAACCGGGCCTTTGACACAGAACTAAACACGCATTTGGTTCACGAATGCAAGAAGCTGATGGGTGAGCTTGAGAAGGGAGAGCAACTGTTGCCTCACACCAATGACGTGCATCAGCTGCTCACGGACAATGTGAAGGTGTGCTGCAAAACAATTGCTGCTACCCTTTGGCTTTCCAAATATACCAAGAATTGTCCTCGTGGTCTTTCGTAAAGAGAATGTCTTTCCTAAGGAGAACATACACGAAAGTGAATGCTGGAAAATGTGGCTCATCCTAGCTCATTTGACATTATGACAGCATCAAACACAGATACAGAAATACCACATGTACAAATATACTTGAGTTTCTTTTACTAGTTAAGAGTTTCTGTTGCATTATTTTGTTTCCATTTTAAATTTCCACCTATGAAATTAATAAGATTGTGATTCAGGACACGTGAGTTTCAGGACAGATTTTATGGGGAAGGTGTGATAAAGAAGACCATTCATAAAATTTAAAGAGTGAAGTAGTCAGACTTAGAACAAGTGCAAATTGACATAAAATTACAATTTATAATAGATTTATTTTTTAAACTTCAAATTTACCAAAATCCATGAAAAGTTGAAATTTCTAATCTTTGTAAAACTGGTGGCAGGTTCTGTCTATTTCCCTATTAAGATAAATGGTGCCCACTAAATCCCTGCTCTCTTCTATAAAAAGTCCAGGATTGTAGCTCCAAATTCTGAGTACTTATTTTTTCAATCAGCTTCCAGGAGGATAGATTTTATTTTGAGATAAGGATTCATTTTGCACGTGGATTCCATACAGAGTGATTTAATTTTTTCTGAGTGGAAGTTTCCTTTGATGTTCTGGACACGATAAACTTATCATTAACTGCTCAATTAAGTTTACTTTCAGATAAACAGGTATCAATTCGGTACTCTGGCAGTATGTTGAACCACTTAACTTTTCATGACTGTTTTACTTTTGAGGTAAGAGTATTAGCTTTTGTTCTTTTTTCCAGCTTTATTGAGCCATAATTGACAAATAAAATTATATATGTTTAAAGTGTACGATGTGATGATTTGTTATCTATGCACATTGTGAAATGATTACCAGGATCAATTTAATTAATATATTAATCACCTAATATAGTTCCCTTTTTTATGAGGATATTTAGCAAATGTCAAGTGTACAATACAATATTATTAACTATCATCCTTATGTGGTATATTAGATTCTCAGAACTCATTTTATAACTGAATGTTTATAAAATTTGACCAACATCTCCCCACTTCCTCCATTCACGAATCCCTAGCAATCACTATTCTTTTTTCTGTTTCTGTAAGTTTGCCTTTTTTTTTAAGATTACACAGTAAATGATGCCATACAATATTTATCTTTCTCTGTCTAGCTTATTTCACTTAGCAGAATACCCTCTAGGTTTAGCCATGTTGTCACAAATGGCAGGATTTCCTTTTTTCTAAGGATAAACAAAGAATATTTTATTGTGTTTGTGTATAAATAGCTATATAAATCTATATCACATTTTATTCATTCATCTAATGACAGCCACTTAAGTAGTTTGCATATGTTGGCTACTGTGAAGAGTGCTACAATAAGCGTGGTTGCTCAGGTGCCTTTTTGAGATTCTGGTTTCTTCTCATTTGGACATATACCAAGAAATTAAATTGCTGGATCATATGGCAGATCTGTTTTTCATTTCATGAAGAACCTCCATACGTCTTCCATAGTGGCTGCACCAATTTACATTCCCACCAACAGTGTACAACTATTCTCAGCATCCTCACCAACAATTGTTATATCTTGTCTTTTTTATGATGGCTATCCTAATATGTATGAAGTGACAATCCATCATTAGCCTCTGTTCTTAATATTAATCAGTGAGTAATTAGTTAAACTGTTCTAATTTACTCTTAAAATACCTGTTGGCCCATTGTCCTTTGGGTTTTCGTGGACTTGAAACTTCACAGTAATAAGTACTGAACGGTTAGAGCAGAAAGTTTCAATATAATCTATACAGTATTAACTAAGATAATATTTTAAAAGACATTTTCAGATTCTTTATAATGGAATTATGATTTAACCTGAGATCTGCTTTGGAGACCAGGATGCACTTTTAACAAAAAAGAAGTAATTTACCAGTGGGTTTTCTTAGGATTACACTTTCTCTTAGGAGAACACTACTTTAGAATAAAGTTTGATTTCAAGTTACGGCTGACTATTGAAAGAGAGAGGTATCTGTAGATGTATATAGATGCAGCAGAAACAGGGAATTTACAAAGTGGGTGTGAGGAATGTTGAGGAAATATCTTCCTCTCTTCACAAATTTTTGCCTAAGTCTTGATATCTGCTTGCTTAGTTTTTCTCAGTAATGCATGTTGAGTTTTTCCAATTTGTTCGTTTGCATCTAATGAGGTGATTCCATGGATTTTGTCCTTTATTCTGAGTGGTAGCTAAGGTCCTCTTGAGTTCCAGAAAAAACGATAGTAGACCACACTTGATTTCTGGGAAGTTACTAACAATAATAAATCAGACAATATTTGTTTCTGAATGATATTTGCTTCTAGCAATTTATAGGAAATATATTCTTACAAAGGTAAGAGCTCTTGAACTCCATGTGAGAAATAAGGAATCATCATATTTAGATAGTTAGGTGTCATTTTAGTTAAAACTGGAAGTTACTCAGGGGCTTTAGTTGTTTTTATTTCTCGACTGTACTGTACAACTTTTTATGCAATCTTTCTGTAACCTTCTAAACTTTTCCTTAAGGTTTATTATTTTCTTAACTGTGAAGTTTAGGCATATTCAGCATTTCTCGTATTTGATTGTTACTCACCATTTTAATTTCAGGAAAACCATGGTACACAAATATAAAGTAAATCCACTCGAAAAACTATAAATTCCTGTTTACAGTATGTGTAGGGGAAAAGCACGACAGCAAATATCCATCATATTGTACCATTGCTTAAAATCCCACAAGATGTGCTGTTTAAAGAGCTGATTTTTTATGGCATATTAAGACTCAGAGACTAGAAAAGACAATTATAATTACATGAAAACCGATGAACGTAGATAATTTCTACAAATTGATAGCTTCATTCTTAAATAATTTAAATTATGCCCTTGCTTATAGAAGTTTTTCCACTGGAGGAATTTAGACATTTCAACTGGAAAGTCAGGGTTAAGAGGTCATATTTTCTGTGAAATTAAAACAACTTAAAAAATTTGTAACTAGCTGCATTTCACTGTTTTAATACTCCTTTATTATTCTATTATATATAATATTATTCATATATATATCTCCAATATTTTTGAATGCTCATTATTGTAGACAATTGATGTTATATTAGAATTACTTTATTTAACCTTCATGGCAGCCCAAAAACTTACATAAAGAAGCAGTTTTACTTATAGCCAGAATATAAATGAGAAATCATAAAATAAATTGAAATGAAATTGTTAAATGCCAATAAGTTTTCAAAGTTTTAAAAGTATGTATTTTCATTCTATCTGCTTAACATAAGGCTGTGGGGTAATCATTTAGTTCAAAGTAATGAATGCCTTTGCTTTTTCTCTTTAAATTTCTTCTGTTGGAACTCTAGTGCACAAAGTCAAGTGAGGATTACTTCTCAAATCATGACATCATGACATATTATGAACACTGGTCTGAACAAAACTATGCTCTTATTTAATTTACCTATGGCTTTTTGTCTCTATTCCCTATTCCAATTTCCCTTCAGTTTCATTAGGCTATGATTCTAACATAGTTAACGTCTCTCTTTTGGTTTTTATGGATTCTTGTAAACAGTAGTATCTCGTGTCCTATTCAGGCGTGTTTATTCTAGTAAAACATATCATAGCACAGGTCTTCTTTTTCGTCCTTTTATCCCCACTTAGTATGTTAAAAAGTTTTATTTACCTATGTTGCTATGGAAAAATGTAATCCATTGCTTCTAATTATTCATAATACTCCATAATAACGACACACTCTCCCTTTGGTGAACACTGTGAGTTTTTTTTCCTAATACCTCAATACTGTGATAACAATAATTCAGCACTGAATATTGCTGAGTATATGCCCATAGGGGAAATATATTCAGCAATATTTTATGAAGAGGTAGAAGGAATAAGATCCAGTATTCATTTGTACAATAGGGTGACTGTACTTAACAAAAGTGTATTGCATATTTCAAAATAATGGAAAGGTTGAATTAGGATGTTCCTAACGTAAAGAGATAATAAATGGTTGATGTGATATTCCAATAATCCTCACTTGATTACATTGTGTGCTTGTATCAAAATATCACATGTACCCATATGTTTGTAACTATTACATATCCAAGATAAATAAGAACATATTTTTTAAGAAGTAATATAGGGCTTTGCATATGACAAACCCTATGCTTCCACCTGCGGTCCATGCCAGTTCTGTTATTCCTACTTCTGTCCAATAAATAACACCTTCTAGCTTTTTAATTTTCACCAGACAAAAAAAATAAGTGATTTATCTTTTTTGTTGTTATTTGCATTTTTATGGTCATTAAAATTGTAAGCACTCATTAATATCCTCATAAACTTTTTGGATTTCTTCTTTAGTAAGTAGATTAATTACAATCTTTCACCAAGTATTAGATCATGTTTGCTGTTTTATACATATATGCCTGTATTTCTCCTTTATCTTTTTTATATCTTACATTTGTTTCATATTGCTAATATCATCTTTTTTTCTCCTTAAATGTACTTACCATGCTTACTTTAAATTACATGTTTACTACTTCATTAATTCTCTCCAGGTGATCTTTGTTGTCCAGTTTCTGTTTTTTTTTTTTTTTTTTGAGATACTTCATTTTTGAGTGATTTGTATTTTAGCCTGTGAGCTTATGCTTTCCAGGAGATATCAACTTCTCTTTTTTGATAATCTGTACTAGGAAAGAGCTAATTATTTAACTTTACCCACTTTGTGTAAAAAAGTTTGATTTAAATGTGTATTACAAAGGAAAACTAAATTTTAATACATTCTGGGCATTTATATTTTGCTTGGTAATTTTAATTTTCTAAACAAAAAAATAATAAAAAAAGAATATCTCTTCTAGGCCTTATGCTAAAGATTTAACTTACAGTATTAAATAGAACTGTATTTTATAGCAAGATCATCCTTCTATCATCAATAAAAACACAGAGATTGGGGCTTTGAAAGTCTCTATATGCATTACCTTTCTTATTTATATCAGTACCAGTTAGTTATTTGATCTTGCTATAAAATACAGTTCTAGTTAATACTAAAAGGAGATATTCCAGAAGAAGGCATTGTTATCATAAAGTATGACAGCTCCATGCATGTGATTGTTCCTGAAGACCTTCAGTGGGGCAAGATGTGGGGGTGGAAGACAGTGATATTGATGATACTGGCCTTGTGTAGGCCTAGGCTAATGTGCATGTTTGTGTCTTCCTTATTAACGAGACAGTTTAAAAAGTAAAAAAAGTATATATATATATATATATATATATATAAGCTTATATAATAAGGATGTTTTTGTACAGCTGTACAATGTGTTGTATTTTAAGCTATCCTTACAAAAGAGTCAAAAATTTTTAAAATTAGAAGTTTATGAAGTGACAGTTATAGTAAGCTACAGGTAATTTTTATTGAAGAAAGAAAAAAATTTATACAAATTTTCAGTAGCCTGAGTGTATAGTGTTTATAAAGTCTATGGTAGTGCACAGTAAGGTCCTAAGTCTTCACTTTCACTCGCCACATACCCACTGACTCACCAAGAGCAGTTTCCACTCCTGCAAGCTCTATTCAGGATACATTTCTTCAAAAGTCAACCATATACCTATCCAATTCTTCTCCTAAGCATTATTTCCCCATGAGAAATGAAAACATATTTACACACATACTTATACCCAAATGTGAACAGAAGCTTTATTCATAATAGACAATACTGAAAACAACATAAAAGTCCATCAATACTTAAATAAATAAACTGTGATATCCCATAAAACTAAATACTTCCTAAAATGAAAACAGCTATGAAACACATAACATGAATCTTAAAATTATTAGGTTTCAAGACACAGAAACTAAAAGTGTATGCGTTAAGATTTCATTAACATAAAATGATCAATCTATAGTGACAGGAAAGATCAGTGTTCCTGCTGCCTGAGCAGGATGGGGAAGGGAGTTATGAGCTATAGACTGTAAAGGATCATGAGGAATCTTTTGAGGAAAATAGAAATATCTGCATCTTGATGGTCTATAGCTGTAAGAACCTTTCAAACTGTATATTCTAAATGGATACAGTTTGTGGTTTCCTCAAAAGATTTATGTGGAAAAACTAAGAACGGACTGAGTTCGAAAAAAGTTAATTCAGTGCAAGAGAGTGTGTGACAGTGGAAAAGCATAAATATCAGAGTCCAATAGGCCTGAGTACTAATCTTACACCAGTACTTATTAGCTTTGCAACTTTAGAGGTGTTATTTAATTCTCTAGTTTTCAGTTTAATCCTATCTAATAACATGGAAAAATAATGTGACAGTGTTGTCTTGGATTTCTTTTTCTACAGTATTGTTTTAAATTTTAAATAACATATTAAAATTCATAACAAAGCTTGGGTACATTATAGGTACATACAATAGTTTTGTAAAGCTTGCCTTTTTTCTTTTCTTTTTTTTCTTTTTTTGAGACGGAATCTTGCTGTGTCGCCCATGCTGGAGTGCAGTGGCGCCATCTTAGCTCACTGCAACCTCCACCTCCCGGGTTCAAGCAATTCTTCTGCCTCACCCTCCCACGTAGCTGGGACTACAGGTGTGCGCCACCACACCAGGTTAATTTTTGTATTTTTAGTACAGATGGGGTTTCGAGATGTTGGCCAGTCTTGTCCCGAACTCCTGATCTCGTGATCTGCCCGCCTCGGCCTCCCGGAGTGCTGAGATTACAGGCATAAGCCACCACAGCCGGCCAAGCTTGCCTTTTCTTTTACTAGGTGGTTGACACAAATTGTAAATGATTTCAGATATCAATTTGCTTAATAATTTGTGATTTTACATAATTTAAATCACTTAGAATTTAAGAGAGCTAATGTACTGATTATAAACCTCACTAACATTTTATCTGTGTTTAAATTAACTTGTGAATCACTTATCTCGTTTTCTAGTCCTCTTACACCAAATTTTCTCACATTCAGCAGCCAAGACCTTATTTATTTGTAATAGAATGAAATGTATTTAGTTACCCTGATCACGCTCATGATCACTGTCGGCCTGTATTATTTGTGTTATATATTAGAGTCTGCTAAGAATCAAAATTACAAGATCATTTAAATATAAGGAAAGGTTGGAGATTGTTAGTAATCTATTAAGCAACATTTGCATTTCAGTATAGCTGCTTCATTCAGTATACATATTTCAGCTTTAGATACGATTGTCCTATGAACTCAATTTATTCTACCCCTATGTAAGTTATTAGAGGACTCCAGGAGATGTATACTTTTACTCTATGATTTAGATCTTAGAGAGGCATCAATTACATTATCTTTCAAGGCCCAATTTAAATAACTTATCTTGAAACTTTCCCTGGTCTTCTCTACAAAAATTTTAAAAAGCACTGTAATTTAACTAATAAGACCTTAAAATATGTAATCAGTTTCCTTTATTGAGGAAATAGCTTTAGAGAA
Source organism: Homo sapiens (assembly GCF_000001405.40). Taxonomy (NCBI): domain Eukaryota; kingdom Metazoa; phylum Chordata; class Mammalia; order Primates; family Hominidae; genus Homo; species Homo sapiens. The sequence continues at coordinate 85,151,809 of NC_000005.10, read as the reverse complement.
GTAAAATTATTTGTCCAAGGAAAACAGTCATATCATGTCAAAGTGAAGACTGAAGTCCAAGCTCATTATGCCCAGTACAATCCAGTACAATATCCAGGTACTACACTACATTCGCATTTTTAACATCTTAAATAATATAGGCATTCTCCTTCCATTTATTTTGCTATGCGGCATGTATTGCCATGTAGCATTCTATTACTTAGAATGTATAATTTGATGCTGTCAATAAGAAACACTACAAATAGTAATTTAAATTAAACAGGTTATTTCACTCATTTTACAAATCAGAGATGAGGCTATCTAGGGCTTGTTGACTGATAGCCTCATTCTCTGTCACGTATTATTTTCATTTTGGGGTACAAAATAACTGCTCAGCCATTGCCACATACCAGAGGTTGAAAGATTGAGAGCTAAAGTAGAAGGCAACTAACTTCCCTCGGGGTAACAATGCAGAAGTTACACACACCACTTTACCTCACATTCTGTTGGTGGCACAGGCACAGCTAGATCCATTAGAAGGGGCAAATGGAATCTCCAGCTGCATCATTTAGCTTGATAACATCAGGAGTTATATTATGACAAGAAGGTGAAGAATGTGAAGTGGCAAACAATTAGCAGTGTCTGTCCTCAGGGACTTTCAGTCATTTTTTGACAAATCTCTGAAAGAATTTTGGACAACAGGCTGGGCACTGTGGCTCACGCCTGTAATCCCAGCACTTTGGGAGGCCAAGGAGGGTGGATCACCTGATATCACGAGTTCGAGACCATCCTGGACAAGATGGTGAAACTCCGTCTCTAATAAAAAAATACAAAAATCAGCCGAGTGTAGTGGTGGATGCCTGTAATCCCAGCTACTCAAGAGGCCAAGGCAGGAGAATTGCTTCAACCCGGGTGGCGAAGGTTGGGGTGAGCTGAGATCACACCACTGCACTCCAGCCTGGGTGACAGAGTGAGACTCGGTCTCAAAAAAAAAAAAAAAAAAAAAAAGAATTTTGGACAACAAAAAGGTATCTTTTTCATATTTGTTAAGTTAACATATACAACTATGTCATAACTTTATAGTTGCAAAGTTATAAATTCCAGCATATTACAAATATTGATATATTAGCGTATTATCAATTTAAAAATAATTGAAAAACTCTCTGTTGACAAGCATTTTCCATCTTTTTTCTTCTTAATTTTTTTCTATTTTCTTAAACTTTTTTCCCATGGAATAGTATTCTAATACAACTATGTCCTCAAGTATTTTACTAATTAAACTTAATAATTTATTACAATAAAACTACATGTAAAATCATCTTTTTCTGTGTTTTTATGATTCAAAGTTCAACTTTTTTCCTAGATTGTCCTAATGGGTATTATCAGTACATAAACGATAAAATTATTATACATTGTTATCATTATTAATTATAAAAAGGTCTCGGTGAAATAGATGGATTTATTTTCCTTGTTAAAATTATCTGCTGGGTACACTGGCGTATGCCTGTAGTTCCAGCTGCTTGGGAGGCAGAGATGAAAGGATTGCCTGAGCCCAGCAGTTCCAGTCCAGTGTGGGCAAAATAGCAAGTTCTCATCTCTTAAAAAAATGTGGATTAATATCATATAATTTATGATCAATATAATTTCTACTTTGTGGTATATATAAATAATTATGAATGATTATAACAAAAATACAGATAAGAATGGGAAAACTTTTTAAAGAGCAATTTCAGTACATTTCTTGGACGTCTTCTGAGTTGTATATAAAAAAAATTACATTGTGACATCTTACCCAGGAAATTATTTTGAATAATTTATCAAGTGAAAACGTTTATCAGGTTCTCTTTAAATTAGTTGAAATCAAAGAATCTTGCAACCACATGATACATAAAAGTATTTGTTACGAGTCAGAAGTGTCATTCACTTTTTGGAAACTGAACTAAAATTTTGAATCTTTTTTTATTGTCCTGGATGACCTTTATAAAATATGGCAACACACAATTATAATATTAAGAATGAAGGAAATGTTAGCCTGTCTTTTTAAAGTGGATACGAGAGATAGCTTAAGGGAAGAAGGGAATGGAGACTGGTTTGTTCTCATGAAGATTAAGTTTATAGAAGCGTATTTATGGGAATGTATGGTCTGACAACAATTATTTTAAAAACCATCTATTCCTGTGTTCCCATAGAATGTCTTCAAGTAACTCCAAGTTTCATGCACCCTAACTTGAAGATCATTGCTTAGTAATATATTATGTGTTTACTATTTTATTATTCTAAATGGTCTATTTCAACATCTTTGCACATACACACACACACACCCACCCACCCTTCTACTCACAAATGTCTTACGATTTAACATCTTATATACCTGATTCAGGATGTCCAACCAAAATTTCCAACTAGCAAATGAAACTTTGTGTCAAGGAAAATGGTTCTTTATGACAGCCTGAAGAAACTGAAGAGAGACGGTTGAGTAAAAAGTAATAGACAAGAGTACGACATTTTCAGGATCCACTGTTTTTCTCTGAATGGCACATTGAATTCCCCATGATTTCTCTTTTCTCTTGTGACTCAATGTTAATAGAGTTAATGAGAATAGCAAAACCTACATTTGACCTGGTGCCTGCAGTTCTAGCCAAAAACAGACTCAATAATCTATATTGTAAGACTCATTTTATCCTGTTTTGACTGAAAAAATAAAAAGTAATCAGGAGTCATTTTGAGTGGCATATTTCAAACTCCCAAAAAACTATAACATTTACACAATCCAAGAAACTGTTGGAGTTTTCAGGGTCAAGATCTGTAAGTATGTCATCTCACTATCAAATAATCAGCCTCTGAGATTCCCTATGGTCACACGGTCACACTTCAAGGCCAGATGTTAAACCCTTGATAAATGTTCATGACAGATAAGAAAAGGGGGCTACTTAGGAGACCTTGGTAATCTATCAAGCCACTGGTACCTTATCTTTGCTTTACCTATTGGTTATCTTGAAACATGTGTTCTTTTAATTAGAAGTAATGCATCTCTTGTTTAACTGACAAATACGGCTGCCACAGGGAGTAGGAGGTGAGGGAGTAGGTCAGAAACCTAATCCTTTAACAGAAAGTTTTCTACAGGCTGCAAAGAGATTTAAAACTTTAATTGCTTCAAAAAATTAAAAAATGCTAGCAGAAAGTATTTGTGTGCTCAGTTCATTTCTTGTCTTTTTTTCATTCGTTTGTAAGTTTCAACAGTTTCAACAAATGCATATAGGCCTTATTAGATGATAAGAATATATCAGCAAACAAAACAGACAAAATTCCTGCTCTGTGGAACTTACACTATAGTAGGAAAATTTCATTATGAGGTTATGGAGACAGAAGAGAACTGAATAAGTGAATCCATGGATTAATGAATATTTATTTGATAAAAGCCAAATTTTTGGTAAGTGCTTGTTTTAATGGTAAAGAAAGTACCGTTTTTCAAGGGCAAAAGGGAAAAAGTGACACATGCAGTGTTTTCCACACAGTTCTGATTTTAAATATTTTATCTACTTCTATAAACATGCTTAAGACCATGGAATTTATTTGAAAAATAATGCATATATATTCATATAAAATGTGAAGATTATCTTAATCTCAGATATATATCAAACATTTCTACTTTCACCTTTTAATGATCCTGTAAAAATCTTCTCTGAGCTTCATTTTTCACATTATGCCAAATTAAAATATTAATCCAGCACTATGTATCATACCTAGGTGCTGAATATCAGTATCTGTAGAAGCTTTGTGATGAATGTAGAGTACTATATAACTGTATTACAGTATTATCATGGTTATCACATGTAGTTAAATTTATCTTCCTGCTTCAAATAACCTTAAAGTGAATAAACAAAAATAAAAAGGGATAAGTAAAATTTAAAAAATTATATTAGGCAATTTATATTTAAACTATTTCTTATGTTGGTATGTGGAAACTCAATGTGTTCTTAATATACAGAAAATAATTGCTTTTTTAAATGATAATTGTTTCAAAATATTTTAAAAACTTTTTCTGTAATATTTCACATGAAACTTTAAGTACGTTATTAAGATAGTCATAATATTTGGTAATTCATCTAAAAAGGAGACACTATCTGGTTAGCAATCATTTAGTTGTCTTTATTATCAGAATAAATATTTGAAGCATTTAGACAATGTCATTGGATTCTTTCTTCAAGATAATTTACTTAAAATATATTTTATTCCTCTATGAGTATTGAAACATCTCTCCTTATCCCTGAGACATTCTCATAGGAAAATTAAGACTTTGGTTAAAATAACTAAATAAAACTAATAGAAAATAAATTCACTTTGTACTAACCATGTTAACTGAATACTTACTCATTCTACCATCTTGGAATGTAAAACCTATTGTTGACCTAATAGGAGGCTTTGCACAAATGGGAACACTGGCATGACTTTGCTTGCTGCTTTCTGAAGTTTGATTTGATATGAGCTCATTGTCATAAGGAAAGATTTCGATTCATCCAAGATTCGACAGCATCACCAAATAACTAAATATATTGTAGTACTACCCCTTCTGTATATTCTACAAAAGATTAGCATATCAAGACTTTGTTCTAATGTTGAAATATGATATATTTTTATTGTATTTGCTTTTCTCATTCTCAGTCTAATGTATCTTTTTGTTACATTAAAGTTTAAGGTAAGATCAAGGTAATGTCATCAAAATCTACCTAAGTGTTATATGTTATTGTTTTTATCATAGTCAATTATCTATGTGAAACAGTTTTAGTCTAACAAGATAGAGGTTTAATTACTTTAATACATTCTTCATAGGTTTAGTTTTAGCTTGCCCTGTCCACAGTCTCCATTTGCCATTTTCTTTTATTCATGCAAGTTGGTATCTCTGCATTGCCAGTTATGGCTCTAGAGAAACAATTAAATAATAGGTAGTCTCCAACATATGACTAAAGCACATATCAAAATTATATTTTAAAATCAGTTGCTTGAACTCTGAATATATTTTTCATAAAAGGAGACATTTTAAAACTTGTAGTTAGAAAATAAAATATATATTAAAACTTGATTCAATGCATAATATAACTGATGGTTCATTTGCTATGAAAACCATTAAAATGTAAGCTTGTGGTCATCAAAGTGAAGTCTATCCATGTCTGATTTTCAGGTATCCATAGCATATCATGAAAAATCTCCAATGAAAAAGTCAAGCAAAATTTAAATTGAAAATTCAGTATTATTAAAAGGTAAATGACTAATATCAGAATTGTGTTAGATTGTTTTGTTTAATCAGAGAGAAAATCCTAAAGAGTGAGGGAAGCAGTGGTTAAAACATCGTAACTCTCTTACCAAAATAGCGATTTTTGATTCTCTCTCACCACTGGTTGTTACTTTTCTTTCCATAGTCTGGAATTTTAAGAAATAAGAGAGTCATGTATGACAAACCCATGGAAAATAGCTTGAATATCTATGAATATGAAAATAATTACAACATTAATACTACCACACACATAGACACACAAAAGTACTATGTCTACCCAATGAAAGTATTGTTTTGTAGTCAATGAAAACATTTTTAAATATATTTAATAACAAAAATACTTATGAAAAAGTATTAAGTCACATAATAGGTATCATGTCATCCAATTATAATCATCCCAATTTAGTTCAACATGTGTTATAAGGCATGATCCATCTCATCCACAATCACCTAATTTCAATCTGTTGCATCTGATTTCAATTTATAGCTATAGATATTGTTGTAATATTGAAATGGATATAGACATATCTCAAAACATTAATGTAATAAAATGTATTTAATTGTTTTCAGTACTCTAGAATCTCTCACCCAGAATATGAGGAAGTTGATTGAACAGAGTGAACAGCGGGGATAGGATAGCTTAAACAGATTTTCTTGGAGAGTGAGAAAGGAGAGGTTGGAGCTACCTCCTTCACACTGCGGTGATGAAAACTCCCAGGGATTCCCTTAAGCTTTTGAAACACATGGTCTTCGTTTAGAGGACCCAGAAGTCTGTTTCTTTGACTCGTGCCTAACAGAGCTAAAGCTGCAACTAAAAACTGGACAGAGTTGGCTGTATAGAGAACGGCTTCTCAGATAGTTTTGAGATGAAGGTTATAGAAGTAACCTTCTGTAAATGCGAACCATTTGCGAGACAAAGCCGGACTGAAACCATTTGACATCTTGGACACAAGACTGTGACTGTGGAACAAGAGGGTGGCCAGATAAACCAAGCTATCAAGATAGAGACTCAAGATTATGTATATTTTAAGCCAAGGTAGCTTTACACAGTCCAAAAAATGTCTTTGAGTTGGAAAGAAAAAGAAAAGAAAAAGGATTCTTCTGAAATATTTTAGCCATTAGAAAGTGAAAAGTCAACCAGTCAAACAAAAATTACATTATTCATTTATCACTCTTTTCTTTCACTATTTTGAAAATTTCAGAAACCTAAATCAACAAATATGGAAAGACAGAGGTAAAAGGAGAGGAAGACTGAAATCTTACAATTAAATATATCTCATTTCTCCAAACTGGGGAATTGCTCATTACAGGTTATAACCAGGAGAATGAAGGGAAAAAGATTCCTTTGAATAAAGTTTGATATTTTCAATAATATATTTTTTACTGCTTTGTGCAGGGGTTTTATTTTCTGTTTTTTACTGAGATAAATTCACATGAAATAAAATGCAAAGATTTTAAGTAGTTGGTTTAATGAATAATTGCTGAGTTTTGACAGTTCCTTAAATCTGTGTAACCACCATGCAAAACAAAATATAAACCATTTCTTTCATAAACCTTCCTCACATCACTGGAAACAAGTCACCCTTTCTGTTGCTGGAGGCAACTGCTTTAGGATATTTAAATTACTTGACTTTGAATCTCATATATATGAGAATATATATATGAGAGGATATATGGAGAACTCATATATATGAGAATTATATATACCCTATATATATGAAATAAGACTATTCTATATAATAAATAAGAAGACTATGTATATAGGGTATATATAGTTCTCATACATATATATTCTATATATATGTACATATATAACTTTTCTTCTATATGGGTAGAACAAAGATTCTTTTTATCAATGTAATAGTTGTGGAAACTCAATCATATATTTGTGTGTATAGTTGTCCATTTCTCTTTATTGTTGGACATATAGCAAAATGTTATCCTTTTTTCTGTTGATGAATATTTGCATTATTTCAAATTTACATCTACTATGAAGACTTATATACATTCTTCTGTATGTCAGTGTCTGGACAAATTTTATTTATATTTTGATGACCAGAATTATCATTATTAGATTGCTTCTTTTCATTAGTATTTTTTGTTTTCTGTGTTAATTTTTACATCTCTAAAATCAAGAAAATATCCTTGTGTATTTTCCTCTATAAGTTTTATATTTTAGTTTTTTTGATTTGTATGTAAAATCTATCTCAAATTCATTTTTGTACATGTACTGAGATAGAAATTGAAGTTTCATTTTATCCACACAGTTATCCAGTTTTTCTAACACCATTGTTCAAAAGATTTTTTGTACACCTGTTGACTTGATTGAGTGCCTCATCATAAAACAATTGACTATATATCCAGGTCTATTTCTAAACTATTCATTTGTCTTGGTCATCGTAGCTTTATAATAAGACTTAAAATTAAGTAGTGTAATTCTTCCATTTTAAAGATTTTTTTTAGCTATAATAAATCATTTTAATATACATTTATAATTCATCTTGCAAAATCTCTATACAAATTCTACTGAGATTGCATTGGATTGTAATAAATTTGTAGACTGATTTAAAGGGAACTGACATTTCAAAATTATTTAAAAATGCTTAGCCACTACATATTTAAATACATCTTCTGCAAAATTGTCACTCCTCTCTCTTTTGGGAATTCCAAAATCCATGTTTGACCATTTGATATTATTTACAGACTCAGAAGTCTTTGCATTCTTTCTCCATTTTTTTGGTTTGTTCACTTTTTTTATGGATAATTTCTAATTCCTATTGACTTGTCATCCATTTTGTTGAAATATTAATCTACTTGTGCCAGGCCTCCATTAAGTAATTGTTCATCTTTATTTGTTATATTGCATTTTTATTCTAAAATTTCCATATGGTTTAAAAATATTTTCTCTATTACTAATGTTATTCTACATATGTATATACATAGTTTTTACACGATTACATTTTTCACTATTTTTTCGACATGCTTATCATCGTTATTTCAAAATTCCTGTTAATTAATTTAAACAGGTAGACCAACTCTGATTTGGCTTCTGTGCCAATTATTAATTTATTTTCTCTCAGCTCCAAATACACTTTTTATTGCCCTGCTTGCAATATGAGAGCTTGAATTTATAAGCATTTGTATTTTGCCAGCTGGCATGCTAATTGGGCAGCATGCTAAGCACTCAGTGGTGACCACCTGCAGTAAGTTTCAGTCACACGATCACAAGCAGCTTCCCAATCAGTTTTGCAAGTATTACAACTGTCGTCTCGTTAGCTCAGCAGCAACTCTTTGGGCAACTTCCTGGAGAGTTTCCAGCTTGCAATTGACAGCCCAGCCCAGAATTTTCTGCTTGCCTACCTTTGCTTTCAGTAACATAGTAAAATTTTCTACTATTCAGTGGCTACAGCCACACCACCTCCAATCAGATCTGAATCTTAGCTATGTGTAGGGGAATGTCCTTCAAAAAATTTCCTTCCTTGAGTGTTCTGTCTCAGCCACATTGGTAGTGGCTATTCCCTTTATCTAATATTTCCTTATTCTCTAAAGTTCTATTTACACCTTATTAGTTAATCTTTATTACTAGTTAATAAATATTCATTATTTATTAACTCCCCCTATTCAAATACACTGTCTAGTTTCTTTCTCTTGAATGGACCCTGACTGATACAGAATTGGTAGTAGTAGCGGTCCCAGAACACACTCTGATGAAGATGGGAATTTGGGATGAGTTTGGTTATGTCCTTGGGTTTGAACATACTGCTAAATTCCTCGATAATTGTAATTTGGATGCTAATAATCCAGGACATTCAGTGGCAACACAATTAATCAAACTATCATCTGTGTTAAATTGTGCTGAATTGCCACTAAAGTAACTGCCTAGGGAGTGCAAGTGACTGCTTACGTCACTGTCATTGTAGTAGAGATTGCTTCAAGAACTTATGAGGACTGTGGTATGAGATGGATTCTTCTGTATGAACTGCAGGGTTAATAGAAAGTAAATGACAAGGTCACGTTCCTTAACTCTCACCCCAATTCACAGTATGAAATTTAGGGTACTTGCTTGAGAAAATATAAAAGAATAATAGTAGTATTTTTCTAGTAGTCACAGGTCTGCTATTGCCAAAAAATCAAAGATATATCTAGGTACAGTGGCTTGTGCCTGTAATCTCAACACTTTGGGAGGCCAAGGGGGCATGGATCACTTGAACTCATGAGTTTGAGACAAGCCTGGAAGATGTGGTGAAACACCATTTCTACATAAACAAAAATATTAGCTAGGCATGGTGGTGCATGCCCATAATCCCAGCTACTCAGAAGGCTGAGGTAGGAGGATTGCTTGAACCCCAGGAGGTCGAGGCTTCACTGAACCGAGATCACACCACTACACTCCAGCCTGGATGACAGAGCGAAACCCTGACCCTCTCTCTCTCTCACACACACAAAAATTAAAGATAAAATATGAAGAAAAAATCAAATATAAAAAATGTAATTGTGCGGACTGATGAGTTACAATGTTAGTTGGCTTCTGTCTCACCAAATATCTACATTAAAGTTAGGGTATAGGTTAAAACACGCTAAAACTTGTAATGGAAACATCTGGTAGAGCCAGATGAAACCAATCATCTTACTCCTTTATATCACCCTGAGCCTCATTTGTCAGTGGAAGTGAATGACCCTCCTGTGTCTGATAAAACTGGAATTCTTTGCTTGAAAATCTTATGTCCTGAAAAGGAGATAGGTACCAATTCTAATCAAGACTTACCTCAATCACAGCCTGTTGCCTGTTACTAGGAGATACATAACAGTGCTAAAACTCACGATGCTCCAAGGAGAAAGATACTTAATATTACCCACCCAAAAGGAGAAAACTTAGACACCAAAATAATGTCAAGACTTGGCTAATATATCTGCAGAAAACTGGGAACATGTTAGCCAAATGAAGAAGGAAAACATGCTATTTATGTAAGTGAACTTACTAGAGATTCTGAATCTCGTGTATTACCTCATACACTGAAGGTGGCTCAGGTAGCTTATTATTCTGATGAATAAAACTTGGACACAGTGGTGGCCTACATTTAATGAGCTTGAGATGCTGGAACTTACCTGGGATGATATAAATGAGGGTTTCCAAAACCTTAAGCATGTAGGAATTTGGGAGTTATGATGTTTCTTTTGCCTTCTCACTATATTCTGTAAGAAGGTACAGAGACATTCCCTTCACTAGGCATTAAAAATTCCTTAGTGAAGGGAGCAGATACTTCCTTGAAAGCCCCTTAGTTGCTCTCTTTTGTAGGCTAGATAGGACCATTTGGGATGCTGCCTAGAAATGGGTTTGCTGATTTTCATTGTCAGCATAGATTCCCAGAATAGCAGAGGCCAAGTAACATAGTTAATTGCCAAAATCAAGGTGGGCATGATAGCTATAAGAGCCTACTGGTAATAAGAAGGCATGGGCTGAAAGGATATTTCCCATAGGCTAATATCTCTGTTAAAAAAAATGAGATAAGAAGACCACTGGTGCAATTTCATAAGCAATATATTTCCATAGGTAATATTGTCTGTGGATATTTAATTTAGAACTTTCAGATATTCTATACATTTCCCAAATCATTCTTGCTATCAAAATTAGGTTGGTGGCCAATCATAGTGCCTCACGCCTGTAATAATACCAACACACTGGGATGCCAAGGTGGGAGGATTGCTTGAAGTCTAGGAGTTTGAGATGATAAGCCTATGCAACAAAGCAAGACCCTGTCTCTACAAACAACAAAAATAAAAAAATAAAAATTAGCTGGCCATGGTGGCTCACACTTGTACTCTCAGCTACTCAGGAGGCTGAAGCAAGATGATTGCTTCACCCCTGGAAGTCAAGGTTGCAATGAGTCTTCATTGCTTCACTGCATGCCTGCCTGCTTGGGCAACAAACCAAGACACTGTTTCTAAAAACAAACAAACAAAAAAATTGGTTTAACAAAATGCCCCAATCAGATTCTTTAATAGATCTATATTTTCTACCTTTTTTTCTGCTAGCAGCAAAACAAGATACATTTTTATCATAGGAGGGTTTCCTAAAATCCCTTTATACCATGAAAAGATAAAACTAAACCCACTTGTAATAGATAAGGGCTGTACATGAAACTGTTGTTGATTATTTTGTTCAATGTTGTAACAAATATCTGTAGCAATAATGTCTTGTTCCAACTAAACTAATATTCAATGAGTATCTGTAATGTATTCAGCAACACTAAAATGCATGTATATAAATAGTTGAACCCATAGATTCTGCCCTCATGGATTATATATTAATACAATGGTATTAATATTTAGAAAGATGATTCTAACCAATAAAAGACAATTATTAAATATATATAAGGACATCAGTCTCTCCTTAGTCACAGTTTCACTTTCTGTGATTTCAGTTACCCACACTCAATCACTATCAAAAATGTTAAATAAATGGAAGAATGTACAATAGAAATAAAGAATTCATAAGTTTTAAATTGTGCCCTGTTCTGAGTAATGTGATGAAATCTCATGCCATCCTGCTTTGTCCTGTCCAGGACATGAATCATCTCTTTGTCCAGCGAATCCATGTTGTATATGCTACCCACCCTGTAGTTAGTAGCCATCTAAGTTATCACATTGACAAATCACCAGAAGGATGAGTACAGCAAAATAAAATATTTTCATAGAGAGAGGGAGACCGCATTCACATAACTTTTATTACATTATATTGCTATATTTTTTCTATTTTATCAGTAGTTATTTTTGGTAATTTCTTACTATGCCTTATTTATAAGTTAAAATTTATTATAGTATGTATGTATAGGAAAAACAGAGTGTGTATAGGGTTCAATACTATTCATGGTTTCAGGCATCCACTGGGTGCCCTGGAACATATCCTGTATGAATTAGGGGACACTACTTCATAGATATAAACACACACACATACATATATATATATATTTATGCATTATGTACACATATTGCATATATGTGCTGTGTAATATAATCATTACATGTATACATTGTGGATCTAAACATTACATATCATTTCGACGTGTGTATGTGTGTGCGTTCAACTCTGCCACAGCATTGCTCTATATTAACAAATTATAGAGCAGGTTGTTATCTAAGGGAGAAGGGGGAGATTAAAGGTGAGTAGTAGAACAAAACAAAACAGAAAAGCTTTAAGACAATATTTTAAATACTATCCATGTACTTGGAAACTAAATTGAAACAAAAAAGTATATAATTAACTTGATATTACAGATATACCGTCATTTGCATGACTATCACTATTAGTAAAGAGTAAGTCAGCTCAACTACTATCTGAAACAATAAGACTATTATATCATTTACCATAGTAAAATTTCAATAGGGAGCCAAGATGATTAAAGAAAAATGTTACTGAGTATTTTTACTGTTAAGACTCTACCCTGACTGCAATCATGTCATTTCACGCTTATTATACGGTGATTTGAATTATTCATCAATTTTGTATTTATTTTTGTATTCCCACTCAGACATTAGGTAATACTAGGGACTGTGTTTCATGAATATTTTCATACTGTAGTAGCACTCTGCATAGTGACTTATTTTAGAAATGATACATTTTCTTTATTTATTATGTATATTTACTTAGCAATGAAATGGGCACACTGGTTATCTCTTAGGATTTAAGATTGTATACGCTTTTAGGAGCCTGGCATGGCGGCTTATGCCTGTAATCTCAACTACTCAGGAGACTGAGGTGGAAGGATCACGTGAGGCCAGTAATTTGAAACCAGCCTGAGCAATAGAGCAATACCTCATCTCTAAAAGCAACAATAATAATTTTTTAAAACTATGCGAGTTTTAGTTATTAGAATTAAGGAAGTTCAATTTTTAACTATGAAAATATTAATTTAATGATAATATTATTTGACTTCATAGTAAGATAAATATAAAAAATACATTCAAAACCAAATATTTTATAGCTTGTAATCATGCCTTCCTTTAATTAACAATTTCTATCATAGAAAACTTTACTTTCTATTGCAGATTTTAGGTAAAAGGAATGAATATGTCAATATTGAAAATCTCTTATATTACTCACATAATATATATTTATGTTAATAATAAGTATATTTAAAAATACTTAATAGCTTTATATAAAAAAGTTATAAGTCACTCTTAACCAGCATTGTGTAATCCTTGGTATTTCCTAGTCTTCCAAAAAACTCCTCAAGACCTGAGGTTTTCTCTAAAGTAATTCTGTGAAGTGACCAAATACCCCTCATTTTAATGGACTGTATCAGCCTCCTAGGAATTTTCATTGGAACATTAACTAGTCCCTTCATAGCTCTATTCTCAGATAACAGTTCTTGTCCTCTTTCAAAAAGTCAGCAATTGTGAGAACAGTTCTTATTAGAAGTTTTTACCTCGTTTAGTGGAGACATTTTTCAAAGCCATAGTCATTCTTTTTTGAGTACTTAGTTTGTCGAGAGAGCATACAAATGTTTATAGAGTAATTAAACATGAGACTCGTATTAGTAGATATTTAATAATTTTCTTTCCTTTTTCTTTGGTGGGGTGGGAGGGGGGACGGAGTTTCGCTCCTGTTGCCCAGACTGGAGTGCAATGGCGTGATCTAGGCTCACCGCAACTTCCGCCTCTCGGGTTCAAGCGATTCTCCTGCTTCAGCCTCCCGAGTAGCTGGGATTACAGGCATATGCCACCATGCCCAGCTAATTATGTATTTTTAGTAGAGACGGGGTTTTTCCATGTAAGTCAGGCTGGTCTCGAACTCCCGACCTCAGGTGATCCGCCAGCCTCGGCCTCCCAAAGTGCTGGGATTACAGGCGTGAGCCACTGCGCCGGCATGATATTTAATAATTTTCTAAATACTTGCTGTCCTTTAAATGAATAATTACACAAATATTGACTAAATGTCTACTATATCTCAAAGTGCCAAATTCTGGTGTGGCGGATAGACTAAAATAAATGTCTTTAAAATACAAAAAGAAAAGGAAAGAAAATAGGTCATAGTGACTGTGAATAAAGAGGAATAAAACCTTTGCTGGTGAAGAGAAGTGAAAACTACCTGCCTGGGAGTAGGGTAGTTTCACAGGGGGGTGATAAGTGTTATTTGGAATACATCTTGAAAAAATTAATGGGAATCACGAAGTATATAAGGAGAAAAATAACCAGGACCAGGGTCAATGTGTAATATATCAAGGAAGACTAACACAAAGACTAGTGAGAAACTCTGTTATTCAATAATAGTGTCATGTGGGAGGAGGGAAACTAAGACACCTGATTGAATCAGATTTGTTTACTAAGAAGCTACTGGAATGCTCGTGGCTATAAGTAACAGAAAATCCCAATGCAAAAATTGCTTCAAAAACAGTAAATTTATTGTATTACATAAAAGAAATTAAGTTACAGTAGTAAGAGTTGTATGCCAACTCAGCGTCATTCTCAGGCAGTTTTAGGCATCATTTTCAGACATAACAACATCCAGAGATAGGAAAACAAAAAATTTTTATGGTATTCCTTTAAGACAGATGACATGTAAAACAATGTGTAAAATAAATTTTAAAATGTGTATTTAAGAGTTAAAATATGTCTAGAAATATATGAAAATGAAATAAAGAGTATTGTTCCAGTCTCACCAAGGGAAAAACCGTGTATATAGAGAGACTACTGAAGCCACATGTACAAAATTCCTTTAAGTAATACCACGTGTAAAGCAGTTGAAGTGAAAACACATTCATACCCATAGATAGAAGTTGCCTTCTCTGCCTCAATATCTATTTTTTATATATATATACTTTAAGTTTTAGGGTACATGTGCACAACGTGCAGGTTTGTTACATACGTATACATGTACCATGTTGGTGTGCTGCACCCATTAACTCATCATTTAGCATTAGGTATATCTCCTAATGCTATCCCTCTCCCCTCCTCCTCCCACCCCACAACAGGCCCCGGTGTGTGATGTTCCCCTTCCTGTGTCCATGTGTTCTCATTGTTCAATTCCCACCTACGAGTGAGAACATGTGGTGTTTGGTTTTTTGTCCTTGTGATAGTTTGCTGAGAATGATGGTTTCCAGCTTCAACCATGTCCCTACAAAGGACATGAACTCATCATTTTTTATGGTTGCATAGTATTCCACGGTGTATATGTGCCACATTTTCTTAATCCAGTCTATCACTGTTGGACTTTTGGGTTGGTTCCAAGTCTTTGCTATTGTGAATAGTGCCGCAATAAGCATACATGTGCATGCTGTCATGGGCAAGGACTTTATGTCTAAAACACCAAAAGCAATGGCAACAAAAGCCAAAATTGACAAATGGGATCTAATTAAACTAAAGAACTTCTGCACAGCAAAAGAAACTACCATCAGAGTGAACAGACAACTTACAGAGTGGCAGAAAATTTTTGCAATCTACTCATCTGACAAAGGGCTAATATCCAGAATCTACAATGAACTCAAACAAATTTACAAGAAAATAACAAAGAACCCCATCAAAAAGTGGGCAAAGGATATGAACAGACACTTCTCTGCCTCAATATCTTTCTTAGCAGTAGAGAATCCTTCTCCATGAGTTCTTAGTAATCCTTCCCAATGCACTGGCCAGAAGTGAGACCCAACGCTTTGGTAAATTCATTTTTGAGGAGAGAATGGGACCACATTGACTGATGGATACCAATAAGAGAAGATATGTGCAATCTTGTTGGCAGTTACCACCCCTGGAATAGATTAACAAAATTGTTGCTTTGTTTTGTTTTGTTTTTAAGGAAAATGAAAAGAGGATTGGTTAGGTAAAGAACTGGTTTCTTTACCGAGGACAAAGGAAACTACCCACATGTTTAATGAAGGTAATAAAGTTTATTAAGTCAGTGAAACACTTAGATTTACAGAATAAAATGAGCATGAAATTTGCTGGAGGTAGGTTTCAAAGTGATGTCTTGAGTCTATGTTTTACAGTTTACGAAAGACTAGATTAGTATGTCTATCCTTTTTATTTATTTGACAAACTATGAGTTTAAACTTAACAAATGAAAATCCAGCAGAGATTTCATGTAAGATAGTGTAATGGATTTTTTATAAAGCTAATGGTAGTTGATAATATAAGACAGCATGGAGTAGAAGCAAGAAGGCCATGTTTTAAACATTGGATTATATGAGGAGAAACATTTTGTAGGACTTAGCTATCATAGTGGTAATAGCACTGCAGAAGAGCAATTCTATTACAGAAGAGTATTGCAGAAGAGGTTCTTTCCACCTTTGTGTCTGGTGTTAATATTGATGGGACTTATGAAAAATAAAACATTGAAAAGGGGAGAGAAAAGCTTTAAGAATGATATCCAGATTATACTAAGACAACCTTAAATAATACCAATTATAGTGAATAAGTTGAAAAGTTAAGGAAATAATATTTTTGGCGTATTCTTTTGAGTTATTGACAAGATATCCTGGAGTTCATTTTCAATATGTACACACACATATGCATCTGGAGCCAAGGAAATGTGAAATCAAGAGATGTTACCAAAGCAATCATACATGAAGATACAGGAGATCATTTAGAGAAAATATATGGCATAAAGATAAAAAATCCACAGAGCAGATTTTTGCAGCTTTGCCTTTTTAAAAATTCTTCTCTCATGCCAGTTAACACAGTGGACTGATCTCAATGTTTGGATTCTAGAAATCATATCATTCCCAGGCTTCAAGATTTTTACAGAGAAAAAATATATAGCAACATTAACAATATTAATTTACACTCTCTCTAAAACAGGAAGTAGTGGTATCCAAGGCAGATGAATCTATGCTTTTGTGACAAGAACTGTGTAACATCAATTTTATTTGTTTGAATATTGCACATCTTCTGTTCTCAACAGTTGCTCAGTAAATATTTTTAGTCATGTAATTTTAACTCCTAGAGGAGGATTATTCCATTATGTGATAATGTTACCTAAATATTTTAAGGACAAACTTCTTCAAAAATATTGTTTTATTCAGCATAGAATTCCGATATTGTATTTAAAAAAAAGTAAAAATTCCAAATGTT
Source organism: Homo sapiens (assembly GCF_000001405.40). Classification (NCBI taxonomy): domain Eukaryota; kingdom Metazoa; phylum Chordata; class Mammalia; order Primates; family Hominidae; genus Homo; species Homo sapiens. The sequence continues at coordinate 85,134,495 of NC_000005.10, read as the reverse complement.
TAGCGCATCATATTTTTTGGACAATTTGTCAAATATATTTGCTTATGCTACAAAATGTTACTGCACCCCTGTAAGACAGATAACATATTGGAAGCAAAATTGTATAGTGCTTACTTTATAAGATAAAAGTGGTACCTAGAAATATATGAAAATAAAATATAAGCAATGAGTTCAACCCCAGTGTGAATAAATGTGTAAAAGCCATATCAGTAAAATCCTATATGTACAAAATTGTGTACATAATGTATAAAGCAGATTAAGTGAAAATGTAATCTATCCTCATAATTTCCTGTAATTCTTAAATCAAAATGCTTGGATACAGGTTTAAACTAATTATATAAAATCTATATATTATTCAAATGATTTGAAGCAGGAAAATGGTCACTTTGCAAATATTACTTGGCAAGTCACATATTATTATTTTGGGATTTGAGTGGAGACATAACGGAAATAAAGGGATTATCTGAAGAAGAAGAGGTATGGTTTTGTTATACCCCGGAGATTCCTCTGAGAAAAAAACCTTATGAATAAGGTAGAATGATGAGTTTATGAGGTTAAAATAAGGAAAGTATGGTCGAAATTAAGAGAAAGAAAGAAACAGAGAATAAGAAGGGACTATAAGGAAAAGTAGGGTCCACACCATGTGAAGCTTTGTCGTATTAATTGGTTTTGGTCTATATTTGAAATGTAATGGAAAACCATTAACATACTTTAAGCCAAAGAATTGTATGATAAGACTTGCACTCAGAATGTATAATCTGTTACATTCTGAAGAATTAATGGAGAGAGACTTTATAAGGGACCCCAACAGAATGACTTTACTGTCACTCATGGGAGTGATAGTAGTAGACATGGAGAGAAGGGATTGGTTTGAGAAGTATTCCAGTCAAACAGCCCAGATATTCATTCACAATAAATTATCTCTAAGAATTGTTAGGCAGCCAAAGTAATGACAACTAGATGTCTGGCTTCTGAAAAAGAATTAATAGTGCCATTTTGCTATTTAGAAAAATGCCTCACATCACTAATCATCAGAGAGATGCAAATCAAAACCACAATGAGATACCACCTTACACTAGTCAGAATGGCTATTATTAAAAAGTCAAAATCAGCAGATGCTGGTGAGGTTGCAAAGAAGACAGAATGGTTATACACTGCTGGTGGAAATGTAAATTAGTTCAGCCACTGTGGAAAGCAGTTTGCAGATTTCTCAAATAACCAATAGTTGAGCTATCATTTGACACAGCAATCCCATTACCGGGTATGTGTCCAAAGGAAAATAAATTTTTCTACCAAAAAGACAAATGCACTCATATGTTCATCACAGCACTATTGACAATAGCAAAGAGATGGAACCAACCCACGTGGCTCATCAACAATGGACTGGATAAAGTAAATGTGGTACATGTATACCATGGAATAGTATACAAACATAAAAAAGAACAAAATCATGTTCTGTGCAGCAATATGGATGCAGCCAGAGGCCATTATTTTAAGGGCACTAATGCAGAAACAGAAAACCAAATACTGCATGTTCTCACTTACAAGTGGGAACTAAACAATGTGAATTTGTGGACATAAAGATGGCAATAATAGAAACTGGGGACTACTAGAGGGGGAAGGGAGGGAGAGGGGCAAGGGTTGAAAATTATTTGGTATCATGCTCAGTACCTGGGTGACAGATCATTTGTACCCCAAGCTGTAGCATCACACAATATATCCAGGTAAAAACTTGCACATGTACCACCTAAATCTAAAATAAAAGTTGGAAAACAAAAAGAAAAAGAAAGTTAGACATGTGCCAGGTTTAGAAGGAAAGATTACAGATTTGCTTTTGGTCATTCGATTTTGAAATGCCTGGGTTCCAAAACTGAGCAGCTGGGTTCAGGACAAAGAATGCACTAAAGAAAATTATAGGTTTATTTTTCTTTACCCAGCTACTCATTTTAAGCATCTTCACTTTTTGGCTCTTAGGATTCTTCCCATCTCAGCCTGTAATTTCTGTGCAATCTCATACACACATAGCTCCAATTACCACAAACATGCAGATGACTCACAATTTATAGTTCAAGTTAATAGTCTTCTCATTTCATTCTGTATTTCCTCCTTAGGCAATGTCACACATACATAGCCTCAATTACCAAAGACATGTAAATGACTCAAAAAGCTATAGTTAATTTTTGGACTGCTTTCTTCATAACAAGACCCAGATATGTCCAATAATTTCTTAACATTTCCCTTTAAAGTCACCTAAAAATTTTAAAAATGAAAGGCAGGATGATATCAAGAAAGAACAAGCAACTATTGACAGGAAATTGAAAAAATTAAAAATTACCCTTGATGCCGACATGAGCCTCATTAGTGAGATTGAAGAACAATTTTCCAGCTTGATGAGGATGAGAGACAGAGTTTATTGGGTTGAATAATGAATACAAGATTAAAAAATGGAAACAGTAAGTATTGAAGTTTGCTTTTGATAGGAGAGTACTTGTTACATTTTTAATAAAAGAGAAAATATGCAAAAGCCAATAGCAAATATGCAGATGCAGGGGGAAGAAGGTTGATTATGTAAGAGAATAAGGATATCTAAAAGGATAAATTTACTAAGAGAGTAGAAGGGATAGACATGAAAACAAACATCAAACATAAAGGAATTAAAACACAGATTGCTAGGCTCAAAGTCCAGAATTTGTTATTTGTAGGTCCAGATGAGGCCAATAATGTGCATTCGTAACAAATTCCACGTTGATGAAGTCCTTGCTTGTCCATGGACCCCACCTTGTGAACCACTGTTGTAGATAGTGGAAGATTGAATTGAGCAAAAAAACGTAGCAGGATCCTGGGTAGTGTTGAGTGTTACTTTGAAATTATGATCATAAACTTATAGTGCTACCAACTATTCTGATATTTAAATATTAGAATATTTGAACATTTATCTAACAACCCTTGGCTGATAAGGTGCTTACTCATCTTAGGTAATATATTGGGAATAGTCAGGTTTAGGGTGCAATTAAAATGAAAAGGAAAAGATGTTCATAAATGGATGAAAATATTATTAAAATTATAGCTTTGGATATCTTAATTGAAAATATTGAAATGATTTTATGATACTATAATGGTTACTTTATTTCTTTTAACATTTTGTATTAGCCAATATATTCAGGAGATAATGCTTTAAATAAAAATATCAGATATCAGGCCACAAAAAGCGCAAATTTTGTAAAAGGCAGGTTTTATGTTATTTCAAACCGAGTTTAAAATTTCGTTTTAGCTACTTTTTTCAAATGTTGCTGTAGAGACTACTTTCAAGCCTGCTAGAAAATTACAGCTTTTTATTTATACATTTTAATGAAACCTCACATCTTCAAGGGATTTTTAAATGGGTAAGGCTATATTGTAATTTTTGTCTTCTATTAAGCAAAATACAGTGAAGTAAATACATTTAAATTAAATCATTTGTGTTTCAATATTTTAAAAAATTAAGAAAAACTGCATTTTCTTAGTCACAAGGTCTTCTAAAGCCATATCCATTTGGCTGTCGGAAAGTTGTGTGAATCATTAAAAAAGTATCTGCAGTTAATTTCTATGGCTATTTTATTTTTCTCTATTAGCAGAAATAAAGTTGTTTTCAGCAGAAAAACATAATTCTCTACTTTCTTTAAAGAGGGAGAATTCACTAGAGTTCGTTCTTGGAATTAATGTAATCAGTATTCCAAATACTCTTTTTCAAGCAGTGGGACAGGAGCCACCACAGCAGGCAAAGGGAAGTTGATTTCTGTCAGAACTGTACCACTCTCATCTATTCCATGAATTGGGTTCTATATGAAATTACTGTATATGATATAAAAAGTGAGTTCAGATTATTTAAACCAAAATCTTGAAGAACAGTGTGTCAGAGACCTGCTTAATTGTTACTGAGGAGTGGTTAATGGTAGCGGTTAATGGCAGAGTTGCTTAAGAGAAATGCTCATGCAGTTAGTAAGTTGCTATAAGCTGAAAGTTTTTGTACCCACACCTACGAATTCATATGTTAAAATCTTAACACTCAAGAGTCTTTAGCAAGGTGATTAGGTCACGAGAGGAGAGCCCCTCATGAAATGGATCCATTTATGAACATCTTTTCCTTTACATTTTAATCACACTCTAACCTTGACTATTCCCAATATACTACTTCAGATGAGTAAGCGCCCTATCAGACAAGCATTGTTGGAGAAATACTCAAATATTCTAATTTTTAAATATTAGATTAGTTGGTAGCACTATAAGTTTATGATCATAATTTCAAATTAGCACTCAACACTGCCCAGGATACTGCTATGCTCTTTTGCTCAATTCAAAATAAAAGAGGCCCTTACCAAAGGCCCAAGAGAGACCACTCACCCATTCCACCTGGTCTATGAACCAGGAAGCAGGCCCTCACAAGACATCAAATCTACTGGTGGCTTGATCGTGGACTTCCCTGGCTCAAGAACTGTCAGAAATACATTTCTGATCTATATAAGCCAGTCTATGGTAGTTTTAAGACAGAAATATACATGCTCATAATATACACATTGCAGTGAGCATGCGATTTTGTCTCTTATTCATTTATTATATGGAAAGTCTAGTATATGAAATAAGCTAATGCTCAGAAAGGTTTTAGTATACTGACTGACACATAATATATTTGTAATAAATGTGAGCTAGAACAACAATTATGTTAGCTATAGAAGCTTTTCTCAATCAGGCATTCTTTCAACAATTTGTTGCGTTGAAAAGCAAGATCAGCTTCTAGTTGTATATATTCTTTTTGCACTAAAATTGTTATTGCCGTCTGGACTATATATATAAATGATTATATTTTAATATAATTACAAATAAGTGACAATTGTTCATTACCTACTTATATATAGTGGATTTTATCATTGGTTTTTATTTTAAACTTGTAAAAACTTATCACAATTGCCTGATGCCTGGCATCAGCTTTAATATATACTTTAATAAGCATTTAAAAAGTTTTTTTAAAAACTAAATGATAAGAAGACTAGCTTACATTTACTGTAAAAGCATCCATCACATTAATATGTTTGGGAATATTTTATATGCTTTCTGTTGACTTTAAATTCACTACTGGAAAATCATACACCTCTATATTAAGCACGAAAAAAAAGGCCAGAAAACAATCTGGGGAATTTTACTAGCAAGCTGTAATAAAAACGGGCTTCTAAGGCCAGATTATTTGCTTATTTGTAAGGATAATCAAGTTTGGGCCTCAGTTGTTTGTATCTAAATAAATAATGCTAAGTTTTAGGTGGAATTATGTTTTCAAGATGAGATGAATGAAATTGTTTTCAAAGAAATTTTTGTAAATATATGCATAATTAATAAACATTGACTTTGAGGGTTCTGTAACACCATTCTGTGTACACCATATCTTATATCGTTGAATTTATAGACAAGTATGAAAGAAAACGCTGAGGGTATGTGTGCTTTTATTTTAAAAAGTCTCACGTAGTAGGGCAGTTTTACTCAACTACAGGCTCAGGTTCTTAGATTGAACTTTTTTTTTTTTGGCATTAAGCGTATGCAAGTGAGTTAATAGGTGTCTAAGAGAGAATTCATACTAACCAAAGTCAGAAGAGATTGACTTACTATTTTTTAATGGTAATAGAACCACCAATCAGACAAACATACCTATGCGTGATAACTTGCCTAGTAGAAAAGTTACATGAGAGACAAACGAAAATAGAGGGATGCTTCATGAGTGTGAAATTTTTTGTTTTTGTTTTTTTAAACTACACTTCATAACAACAACAATAATAGTAACATAATAAACAATATGTGTCTGAGAATATTAGTGATCACTAAATATCTATTTAACATCACCGAGCTATTCCTGCAATTAGTTTGGAACTGTGTAACTTGTTCTTTCAATGAAATGTGAGTAGAAATGCCATGAGTCGCTTTAGGATGAAATAATAAAGGTATGAATAGGTCTCCTCCATGTTTCTTTTTCTTCTTGGAAGCAAATGTAAAGGCCACAGGACGACATGGCACAACCACATATGAGAACAGCTTGGAGTACTGCACTTGAGAGCTAGAGCTGTTAACCTCACAACTGATTTGGGATGTTAAGATGCGAATTTCACTATGTGACGCTTATGAGATTTGAGAATATATCACAACATAACCTAGCGTTACCTTGATTAGTCATTTCAAACAGAGCATGATGCACCTGATCCTTCACCAGCTGTAGATTTATAACAACATACATTCCTCCCTATATTCTAATGAACTTCTAAAAACTGGAGTTTACAATTTAAGCACACGTTTGCTCACAAATAATCGGTGTTATTTCTGTAATTAGTTAATCCCACCCATTGTATGCTGCTGATTTTCTTAAAATCTTACTCTTTTAGGGCTAGCTTTTTCTTTTTTTTCAGGAGTTTTATCCCTTGCTGTCATTTCCATGTACCTACGTTAACTAAAGGAAGAAGAAAAAGTTTACTTGTCAGTTTTAACAATATAGTAAGTTAAAATATTCAGAGCTACTAAAGAGCATAATCCAAATAATATCAACCTCTGTGGCATTTAGGTAGATATTATTTTCAGAGGTTTAGTACACTGGAGTCATGACTATACTACAGCAAATATATTTAAGAGTAATAATCCTTACACTGAATTATGGGTGCTTGTTTCTATCAAGTACATTGACTTTTGGCCTTAAGAAATATTTTATATTATTTTGATCCAAATGAGTGTTGTTTATACATATCAGTCCTGGTGTCTTACTGAAAGTCAGTAAATGTATAGGCCTAATACATAACTTTTTTTGTACAAAAATACTCCTTTTTTAAACTAGAAAAACATAGAGCAGAAATATTTAGCCCAAATATTACTATATTAAACAATGTCAAAAATTTCACTGAACAGCAGAGATGATTCATGGACATAAGTTTTGTTCATCAGTAATTTATATACATAAGGGTATTTATAGGTTATAACAGCATAAATCTTAAGATGACTCACCTCTTCAAATAAGTCAATTTCTTCTTGTGGGACGTATTTAATACTAATACCTCTATGTATTTGCATACATATACAAATGCATTATATATACATACAACATATATATATATATATATATATGTATATACACTCACACACATACCTACATAATAAAAAAGACCTTACTGAAAGAAATAAATACATAAATTTAAAAAATACAGACTAATATATGTATTTTTCAATAAGGTCCTCTTTTATTTATGTTGATAGATAAATTTCTAGTCATTAAGAATAAGGGCAAGAAAGTGAAAAAGACGGGGTATGCTTTACAGCTTTTAAGAAATTCTGTCATATCAATTTAGAGGGAAGCATTTACTGTTTCAAGTTATTAGAATAACATTAATTTCTCTAGTACAGTGAATATATAAAGGCCAAAGCACAAATAAATTAACAGGCATCACCCTTGTGTTCTGAAAGTTTCAGTTTCTCTACTTGTCTGGAAATGATATGTGTCAGTGCCAGAATCCATTTCAATGGGTTGCAAAATGTTCACATAAATTAATTATCTAGCCCAATGATGTAATTTCAGAATTAGCCTGCAAATATTAACAGTCTAAAATAATATGATCTTTATCGAGAAAAGGATTACTATGCTCTATTATTTTTTACCTAGAGGCTTTCACATGTATTACATCATATAATCTTTAAAGCAATTAAGAACATTCCATTAACCTCCATTTTAAAAACAAAATACATGAAATATGCATCTCAACCAAGATCACATGTTGGTTAGTACCAAAGTTAGTATTTGACTTTTTTTCTGGGTTCGATTCAATGCTTTTCTAAATGTATATCATGACACTTTATTTTTTCATTTTATCACTACTACATGGTCCAAAGAAAGAACCGTGAGTCCTGAAAATGTAGCATTAAGGTGCCAGCACATAGAATATAAAAAGAAAATTGGAAAGATATATAGCATGAATATTTAACCTAAGATAGGATAATCATGGGTGAGTATATAAAGCCATTGATCCTATATAAAAGTGGTATGTAGAAGGATATTTTGAGGGGGGGTGCTGGAAAATTTTCAGTCTATGTTCTGAAAGAATATTATTTCTTTCTTTATTTTATTTATTTATTTTTTTGAAATGGAGTCTGTCTCTGTCACCCAGGCTGGAGTGCAGTGGCGTGATCTCGGCTCACTGCAACCTCTGCCTCCCAGGTTCAAGCGATTCTCCAGCCTCAGCCTCCCAAGTAGCTGGGATTACATGTGTGTGCCACCATGCCCAACTAATTTTTGTATTTTTCAGTAGAGACAAGGTTTCTCCATGTTGGCCAGGCTGGTCTCAAACTCCTGACCTCAGGAGATCCACCCCACCTCGGCTTCCCACAGTGCTGGGATTACAGGCATGAGCCACTGCGCCTAGCCTGTTCCTTAAATAAATAAAGTAATGAAAAACTTCTATTGGTGTAAGTCAAACTATTTCTTATTTTGAACTCTTAACCACCATAGTCCAAACATTAGAGATTTTGTGTTATACTGGAACCATAAAGCCATGATTTTCAGTTGAGGGGAATATTTCAGTTAGTCATTATATCAATTAATTTTTATAAACCACCACCACCAATACTTTAACAAGCTTACTTTGTAGAAATTTACAGTTAGGCATATGTTAAGTTGTTTTTCAAAATTTGGTCGGAATGAATGGACAACTATAGATCTATATTTAAAAATGTTTGTTAAATGAGTGATAGATTCTTCAGAAAAAAAATGGAAATGATAACATATAAGATCAATATAAATAATTCATATCACCAATTTTTTGAAACAGCTGCTTAATATTATTTCTATTTTATTTATTCTTAGTTGTACTTCACTCATTTCAGTACACCTTTAAACTTTACATCTCTTTAGAAAACATGTCACAAAGGTGATCCACAATCTCAAGCGTGGATCACAAATCTTCATTCTTCTTAACCTTGTTGGTTAGCTTTTTAAAACCATATGGAATGTTTATCAAGATAATCTATATGGAGAATATAAACAAATCTCAAAACATTTAAAATGACTGAAATTATACATGGTAGGTTCACTGTTAGTAGTGGGATTTTACAAGAAAGCTATAAAGGTAAGACATATAGAAAAATAAAGAAGTATGTTTAAGACCTCTATACCAAATGCTACGGAATATACTGAAGATCTTAAAAGATAATAAATTATGTGCATAGGAGTGCTCATTGATTGGAAAATTTAATATGGTTAAGATATGTTTTCCAACATATAATAATAGATTTAACAAAATTCCAGTCACATGCTAGTAGGCCTTCTTAAATAGAAATTGACACGTTGATTCTAAATTGTATATATTACAGAAATGCCAAAGCACTATTATAAAAACATACACTATATAATTTCAAGACTACTATAAAGCTTCAATAATAACGACAATGTGGTATTGGCATAGAATCTACACATAGATCAATTGAAGAGGCTACGGAGTCCAGAAACGGATTCAAATGGTATATTTATTTGATTTTAAATAATGATGCCAAGGCAATCTGATGGGGAAAGGAAAGTCTTTTAAACAAATACTACAGGAATAATTTAGTATTCATATGTGACAGAAAATAAAATTAATCTTACTCCTTATATCATGTCACACTGTGAAGAGGCATGAGGGTTCTTTCTGGGTGATTGTCATGTTGTATATTTTAGTGTTACATGAATTAATACACTTGTGAAAGCTCAGAAAATAAATTTTTAAGAGTTATCCATCTAATTCTATGTATGTTTTACTATAAAAAACCTTAAAAAATTGCCTCTGATTTATATGAATTAATTAAAACACATCAAAATTAAAATGAAATTATTAGAAGAATATAGACACATTGTAGTGACAGACGTGTTAATGCAGATATTTTAATGATACAATCTAAGCTGTGTTAGAGTACTTATTGAAATGGTCTTTAAAATTTTCCCCATATTTGAAAAATTTTCATAATGAAATATTGATAGAGGTCTCATGCCATCAATAGTTTCTCCTTCTTTTAAAGTATACTCTTGAAAGCATGGGCCAACAGACACACAAATTGCAAAAACATGCCTAAATGAGAAATGAGGCTTATATTTTGCTCATAAATATTCATATAGAAAATGTATTTCTTGCTTACAAATTATTGGATATAGAAAATACAGTCAGCTGCCAAGGGATTAATAAACAGGAACTCAAACAACTCAATAGCAAAAAGCCAAGTGATCCAATTTAAAAGTGAGCAAAATATCTGAACAGACATTTCTTAGAAGATAACATGCAAATGGCCAATGGGTATATTAAAAAATGCTTAGCATCACTAATCATCTGGTAAATGCAAATCAAAATGGCAGTGAGATATTATCTCACCCCAGTTAAAATGGCTTTTATCAAAAAGACAAAAAAAAATGGATGCTGGTGAGGATGTGGAGAAAGGGGAGCCCTCACTGTTGGTGGGAATATAAAGTAGTAAAGCCGTATTGGAAAACAGTCTGAACATTCCTTAAGACACTAAAAGTACAACTGTCATATGATCCAGCAATCTCACTGTTGAGTATATGTCAAAAAATAAGAATATAAGTGTTTTGAAGAGATGTTTGCACTCCCATGTTTATTACAGCCCAATTCACAATAGCCGAGATAGTGGCTCAAACTAAGGGTCCATCAATGAATGAATGGATACAGAAAATATGATATGTCTACAAAATGGAATTCTTTTTATTTCAATAGCTTTAGAGACACAAGTTGTTTTTGATTACATAAATGAATTGTATTGTAGTGAAGCCTAGGTTTGTCATATATGGTTTTATTATTTTGAGGTATGTTTCTTCTATGTCTAGTATGTTGAAGGTTTTTATTGTAAAGGGATGCTGGATTTTATTGAATGCTTTTTCTTCACCTATTCAGATAACTGTGGTTTTTGTTTTTAATTCTGTTGATGTGATGAATCACATTTATTGACTTGTGTTTGTTGAAACATCCCAGCATCCCTGGGATGAAAACCACTTGACCATAGAGAATTATGTTTTTTTTTTTATGTGCTATTGGGTTCAGTTTGCTAGTATTTTTGTTGAGGATTTTGCATCTATTTTCATCAGAGATACTAGTCTATAGCTTTCTTTTTTTATTACATCCTTTCATGGCTTTAGTATAAAAGTGATACCAGAATCATAGAATGAGTTAGGGAGAAAATCCTCCTTCTCCATCTTTTGGAATAGTTTCAGTAGAATTGGTACCGATTCTTCTCTGGATGTCTGGTAGAATTAGGCTGTGAATCCGTCTGGCCCTGGGCAAGAATCTGAAGACAGCACTGGTCAAGGAACATTAGAATACTCATAGGGGTGCAAATCAAAGGTAATGCCATGTAGAAATAATCATCAAGCCCCAAACCAAAAAACCAGGTCCATGAACTGGACAATTCAAATTGGAAAGTTATATAAATAGCAAAAAGATCAAAATGATTTCTCTAAGGCATGTACAAAATACAGCTTTGGATAAAATATTAAAAAGAGTATTGCTGTATTTTCTCAAAAATTTGAAATAGAACAGTGCTGCTATGCTACTTTATGCATAATTCTATGTAGCAGTAGGGAGTTGCATGAAATGATCACTTGTGGATATTGCCGTTTATATAACTCAGTCTGAGTATCTGTATTCACAGAAACTAGAAACAATTTATTCCATCTCAATGATCTGGAAAAGGACATGTAAAGCAGGAAAAAAGGCCTGTAACCAGATGGACTGGTTAACAACAGAACATTTTACAAATCACTAAGAAAATAAAAACAAGAGGTAGGAAACCATAGCCTTGACATAAATATTTCCCCTGTTCTGACAGGAAAAGAGACTACTATGATTCTATATTTCTAGCAAACAAAGTCATAGTTTTAAAAATAAAAACCAGTTGTTCTTATCCATGTGGAACCAAAATAAATTTCTAAATTATAAACCAACAGATTGTAATAAGCCTCCCTAATATTTAGGAATATAGAGAACTAGGTAATTGAGTTTATTGTTACGGAGTTTAGGGAAAATTCTTAAGAAATATAAATTTTAAATATTTATAATATGAGATGTCAGGTTTCATTGATGATAAATTGTGCAAGATTAAGGAAAAAACAGCAAAACTTCTTGAAACAGAAAATTTTGTTAAAGTTAACAAATATTCTTAGCTGAAAATTTAGACATTATAAATATGGATTTTTTTATATGACTTTGTCTTCCTCACGTCCCCAGTAAGCACTGGATTTAACTATTAAATATAAAAAAAGGTAGCTCAGGGAATTTTCTTGTCTTTTCAACTCATTATCTTTCTAATGTAGCTATCAAACCTTAATGGCAAAAGTTGCCAGAAGGAATTATTGTACATATAAAATCTAAAAATATAGAGATAGTACTAACAGGAACTTGTTCATTTTTGCAGTCTAGAGTTAGAGAAACCTATAAACATTAAGAGAGAAAAGCTTAAGACAAATAACAGTAGACTATTAAATGAAGCAAATGGAACTTCTTCGAAAGATGGTAACTGAGGTGAACACTTATTTTTGAAATATTTTATTGGTAGAAAATACATATTAGGAAATCTGGATACTTAAAAACACATGTTTTTGTCTTGAAGGGGTTATAACAAATTTTTAAGAAGAGATAACGAAGACCTAGTGATACACTCAAAAGACCATGAACCAAAATTAACGGGGTAGGACATTTTATAAGGTCATATTTATTTTGTTAACAGTATTGCTGCAACTTTCTTAATATGTTGTCACATGAAACACATCATAACATACAGAATACATTTACACATAATTTTATGCACCTAGTTTATGGTGAGTTAAAATTCATCAGTAAAATCAGAAGAAATGCTTTCAAGACTAATTTTGTGTGTTAAGGAAATGACAGCAATTACTGAATATTAGTTAGATCTTCAAGGTAGAAACATAGGGTGCACATTGAAATACACAAGTCTCAAGTCTGAAGGAGAGAGCTTGCTGGTGATAGAAAAGAGAGGAGATCTGAAGACCACATCTTGAGCATATAAATGTTCACAGGTTTCAGAGATGAATATAATCTAGAGAATCACACTCATGTGGAAAGTTAAATAAGATGATAAGAAAACTAGGAAAGGATATTATCTTGGGATGAAAGTGAAGAAAATATTTCAAAGAAATGAAAAGCTCCAAAGCAAGTATTAAGAAAAGTAAGAGGCAGTCTGAGCATTGACTGATAGATTTAGCAACAAGGATATTTAAAATATATGTATTTTAAACTATGAAAACATTTATTTTTAATTAAGAGTATTTCCATGTAATCTTGGTGATATTCAGAGTAAAGAGATTTGCCTTAAAATTATAGATAAGAGGACTTCCATTTATGTCTATGATGAAGTGAATTATAGTAGAATAAAGAGAACACATAAAAAATCTACATAAACATAAATTTATATATTAAGAGAATGACCAAGAAAAAGAAGGCTCAAGTGGCCAAGGCAGATCTTGAAAAGACAGAAACTTCAGGGAGGTGAACCAACATTCTGCAATATTTGTGAATCTTGCCAAAAGATGAGACAAAGGACAACATCTAAAAGGTAGAGAAATGTTGATAATCCTGAAGGTTGGAAAGACAAAAATTGGAATTAGATCCATTTCTAATTCCTGAACTGTAGCTAGAATTTAGTGAGAATTCAGTGAGGTATCTGAGTCCATTCGAGCTGCTATAACAAAATACTATAAACTGGGGGGCTTATAAACAACAGAAATTTATTTCTCAAAATTCTGGAAGCTGAGAAGTCCAAGTTCATGGCACCTATAATGTTGGGTGTCAGATTAGGGCTCATTTTCTAGTTTACAAATGGTGTCTTCTAGTTGTGCTCTCATATAGTGGAAGGAGAAATGGCAGCTCTCTGAGGCCCCTTTAATAGGGGCACTAATCCAGTTCATGAGGGCTCTGAATTGGTGGGCTCTGAGGGCTATTTAATGGCCTCCCAAAAGCTCTACCTCCTAATATTGTCAAACTGGTGATTAGGTTTCAACATACGAATTTTTAGACGACACAGACATTCAAACCATCTTAGGAGTGTAAGGAAGTCAGGTGCAAAACTCTACCCATTTTTCACTTGAAACATTTTATACATTTGTGAACAATATTTTTTTAAAAAAAGACTAAAAACAAATGAACAAACAAAAATATCCAACCTATTAGCAAGGAATCTGCAAAAGTAAGGTGTGTAATTTCCCCATTATCACAGTGTTAAGAGGAGAAGTGCATCTAGCCCTTAAGACCTGGAGCAAACTGAAAATAGATTAAACTTGGCACAAACCGCTGCAATGAATACTCAAGTTAGCAAAGTATCTTTTTAAATTAACGTAAGCTTTCACCAGTCTCTCTTAAGAGAGGATAGAGTGATTAGGGGACTGTTAAGTGTTTAAAAAACTATTTCTTTAAAAAAGAAATATCTTGATTTGTAAGAGTTGTAGATTTACATGATGTAAACACTCCAATAAGGCTAATTTCAAGCTACTGACATGACATAACTGAACACAGATTTGTGAAGAAATTCACACATTTGGCATAAGTCAGTATGAGCTAATGCCAGTAAATTGAATAAAGTCTACCTTCTCCATAAGAAAGCAACATCATAAAATTTGTAATATAAATTATTTATCAATTAAAAATTACCAATAATGTATAAGAAAATGTACTAAGAGAAAATAAAAGAATAAAAGAAACACAGAAAACCTGACTACTAGGATAATAAGAGATAAATATTGAAATAGCTATGTAATCTGCTCAATAAATTTAATTTCAAGTTGGAGTTTTTTACTAGATAATTAATATTTATTTTTATAAAATCAAATAAATAATTAAAAATTCAAAAATGTAATTATTCACCGTGTATAAAAATTAACTCAAAACCAACCAAAGAGAAACAAAGTCATATTCCCACAGAAAAATTTATACAAAAATATATTTACATTTATAAATTTATAAATGTATAGCAGCTTTACTTGTACTAGAATAAAAGTAAGTAACCTAAATGTCCTTCAACATGAAAGTGATGAGGAGATGTTGCATATCCACACAGTAAAATATAATAAATGATGACATACCAATGCAGTGGAATATTATTTGGCAAAGAAAATGAACTACTGATAGTCACAATGCATTTCAAGATAATTATACTGAGTAAGAGAAGTTAGACCAAAAAATTCATACTGTATGATTCCATTAATATCTCTAAAATTATATCTCTATATAAACTCTAAAAATTGGAAACAAATCTATAGTAACAGGAAGCAGTTCATTGGTTGCCTTGCAAAGTTCAATATGGAGAAGGGTAGGTGGTAGGTATTACAAATATGTTTGAAGGATGGACCAGAAAATCGTTGTAAGGAACTTTTGTGAGATGATATGAAACATATAGAGAAAACAGAGATAACATATTTTAAATAGCTAAGTGTTTGTCGAAACGATTTAAATAGTAGACCTCAAAAGGGTGTATTTTATTTATGAGTAGGTAAAGTATACCTCAGTAAAGTTGATTTGCAAGAAAAAAGATAACTAACTAAAAGTAGGTGATTTATATGGTTTTTGTTTTGTTAGTGACTCAGTCTAAAAGTCAATTTGGTTAATCACCCAGCAGGAGTAGAATTTATAGAATACAAAATCATAAACCAGCAGGAAAATTTGATTTTTTATATGATTCCTAGCAATTCTATTTTTGCTTTTTTTCTATTCTCAAATTAAAAGCCCATTTTGTCATATTGGGACATGTCTCAAGACTGCTAACACAATAGGAATTTTATGTTTAATACCTTACTTACCACAGTTTTCCAATGTAATTGCATATACTTCAAATATTTGTTTTCTACTCTATTAAATAAATCTATGCCAGCAAGATTATTTTCTGATCTATAAATTGAATTAAAAAGCATGCAGATGATTTTAAATCCAAAAAAGCCATACAACATGCTTGTTATATTTTAAAAACCCATTCAAGCTCTTAGACAACAGTTGTGCTGAACAGCTATCATTAAAAATAACTAATGATTTTTAGAATTTATTATGATTATTAAGTTGAACATTTTACATATATCATTTAATCCTTGAAAGTTTTTAATATCTATATTTAAATATATTGTCCTGAAGCAAGCATAGAGTTCTTCAATCAGAGACAGACTATTATTATTAATATTTACAGCAATAACAGCATCAGTTACTGACACACCATTCTCCCTAATATGGGGTGATGTAGTGAAAGCCAGATAGTTACAACTATTCAAATAAACAGTTCTGTACCACAGGAGAGAAATCCTAAAACTATGACTATGGGCACTAATGTAGGCACTGCTACATACCCTCCTCTCAATAGGGAGAGAAACTTGATACACCTAATGTAAACAAATAATTTGGAATGTGGATGGTTACTTCAGAGTTTGTCCCCTTTGGAAATATAAAAGCACAACTCTAGGAAAATAAACCCCTACATCTACCTGAAGTTCTTTCACTCTGTATACTGTTAACATTTAACTTACAAGGGCTGTTTTTTATCCCAAATACAAGCTTTCTTGGCTTAAAAGCTCTATCTATTCAGAGACATTAATATATTTACATGGCTTCTCCACAATCTTTACTAAAATTCCAATTCCATTATGCTGATGAGAAAAATATCAATGAAGTGTTATTTTGTACAAGAATATGTATAAAGTAGATAATGCAGGATACAAATATGGTAGTATCTGGCTTCAGGGACAGCGCATACTCTCCACACTATACTACTTTTCTATTGCTACAATTTAGGATTAAATTTAGGAATGAGGGACTACAGATATTTTTATTATAATTTACCTTTTTTCCCATTATCCAAAAACAGTTATTTTTTGTATATGATTTAGAGATGTTTCTTCAGTAAACTATAATATCAGTTAAGCCAAGAGAATTAATGATAATATTTTGAGAAAATAAATAAATAATAATACTTGCACACTTCTTTTTTGTTGTTGTTTTTTGTTTGTTTGTTTGTTTGAGACGGAATCTCGCTCTGTTGCCCAGGCTGGAATGCAGTGGTGCAATCTTGGCTCACTGCAAGCTCCGCCTCCCAGGTTCATGCCATTCTCCTGCCTCAGCCTCCTGAGTAGCTGGAAGTACAGGCACCCGCCACCACGACCGGCCAGAGATGGGATTTCACCGTGTTAGCCAGGATGGTCTCCATCTCCCGACCTGGTGATCCGCCCGCCTCAGCCTCCCAAAGTGCTGGGATTACAGGAGTGAGCCACCGTGCCCAGTCAATACTTGCACACTTCTATGACTTGTTTTACGATCTACAAAATATCTGTGTGACATACTTTGACTTATGCAATTATTTTCTTTAAAAAAAATTTCAAAAGGTCAAAAGCTGTGTATTCACTATATATTTTTTGAAATGCTTGTGTATTAGTCTGTTCTCATGCTGGTAGTAAAGACATACCTGAGACTCAGAATTTTAAAGGAAAGAGGTTTAATTGACTCCACAGTTCCACATGGGGAGGCTTCACAATCATGGTGAAGTAAAGGAGGAGCAAAAACACTTCTTACATGGCTGCAGGCAAGACAACTTGTGCAAGGGAGCTCCCATTTATAAAACTATCAGATCTCATGAGACTTATTCACTATCATGAGAACATCACGGGAGAGAACTTGTCCCCATGATTCAATTACCTCCAATGAGGTTCATCTCACAAGAAGTGGGAATTATGGGAGCTTCAATTCAAGATAAGATTTGGATGGGGTCTCAGCCAAACCATAACAGCTTGTAAACATGTACAACACATATAAACAGATAATCATGATTACCATTTTTTTCATACTTTGCTGGGCAGTATCATTTTGATCATTATTAATTATGTTTAATTTAAAAATAATAGAAACCTATTTACAAAACAAGAGCAACTTTTTCTCACTTCAGTTTTAGATAAATTACATTAAAAGGCTAAGGTCAAAACTGTTAGTCATTATTGCTGTGTTTTTATATTTTTAATTTATTAATTATTTTATTTATATTCAATTTAATTTTAGTGTAAAAATTTGAAGAGTTAACTGTACATATACTTCCTCATTGCTGTTGCTTTTTGGAAAACAACATTTTTGGTGAAATTATTTTTTAATTTGTAGTTTTAACTTGTTAAATAAAAACCACGTTATGATGTGTTTATATTAATGGTAAAGCTAAAGTAAAATTAAAATATTCCTTTTGAAATTATCAAGGAGTAAAAGGATGTATTCAAAGTTCATCTTTTCTAATTGCCTCATTTAGGCCCTAAAACATATGTATTTATTAATTTAAAAAGCTTTATTATACTCATTCTCTGACTATAATAGGTGATTATATCTATGAAGCTATCACTAGTTTCCAGTATCATATTATATCATATAGTCATTTTACATATCATATAATAATCCAAAGGTAAATTTTTTAATTGAAATTTTTTATTATTTAGTTTGGGTTCTTTCTTTTTCTATGTGGAATTACTTTTAACACTATTTTGCCTGTCCTGATGAGAACAACAAGAATTCCAAAAGAAACAGTAAGCCAATCCTATGGGAGAAAAATAGTGTTTTGAAACCTGCTTCCCTAGAAGAAATGTGCACATTACAAAGGAGCTATTTCAGGAAGTTTGACCTATAGTTCTGGACACACACGCAAAATGTAAAACTTAGCAATTAAACAATAACAAGTCTTTTAAGACCTCAAGACCTCAGAAATAGCATTGTAAATAAAAGTGGTTAAGTTTTACAAACCACCTAACTAGGCACTAACCACTGTGCTAAAACCTACGTAGACAATTTCGTTTCATCTTTACAATGCCTTGTACTATAGATGTTTGGAAATAGACTGCTAACTAAAAAATACTCATATGGAGAAACTCAAAGTAATTAAATTGAAAGCACAGACCCTAGAACTACAGGTTTTAATTTTCAGCATGGCAATTGATTAGTGTTAATGTTTATAAGAAAGACATTGCATAAATATGTTAAAATTAATATTGTTAAAGTAGTCTAAATATATTCTTTGAGAATTTAGACCAAACATTTTACTGGAAACAGATTATAAAATGTATTTCTACTTAAGAAATAAAAACTCAAAGATGATAATTTGTAATAAGTGATATACACCTATTCATAAAGATATTTCCCAAAAACTTTATCATTCTTATTTCAAAATCAAATGCTTTTTACATTTCACTAAGATATTTTTTATTCTTAATCACTAGATGGTCAAATTTTCAGATTTAGAAAAACGTATTTTGCAAGTATGTGCAAATTGACCTAGAAAGTTGTATCAGAAAAATCAGTGGAAGCTGTGAGAAGGATCCAGATTTATCAAATATGATAGTATCGTTCGTAAACATCATATGATTCTAAGAAATTGGATTTACAGGAAAGACCTGCAGGGGTTTTACAAATGCATATGTGCTTAGAATTAGACACAGAAAATCATCACATTATCGAAGGACCAAAGAACTTCAAAATCAAATTAAGCGATATAGAAAACTGAATTATTGATGTAGATAACTTGGTTAATAAATAACTGGCTAGGGCATAACTTAATATAAGGCTTTGGACTACAGAACCATCTATTTTGTGTTATGAAGCCATTGATATAGAATTGAAAAAAATAGATTCAGTTATTCAATCAGAATAGTCTAAAGAATCCAGGCAGTGGCATAGATTTTTAGGCAACCTTGATTAATATTCTCCAATCTCAAATTATTTGGAATGATGTAATTACTATCTTAGTGTGCTAATGCCTTGTCCATCATGCACAAGATCTATAGCCAAAGATAGAAATGTTTGAGTCACAACTCCTTGATAATACTGTGTAAAGAAACCTTCATGCCTTCAATAAATTTAATTTTAAAATGATGATGGTGTATACTCTTTTGTTACTATTAATTTCACTTAACAACAAAAGGAACTTAATGCCCAAACAAAAATATATGCACAAGAATATCCACAGCAGTATTATTAATAATTGGCAAAAAATAGAAGTAATCCAAATCTCCACCCTTATATAAATGAAGGGAAAAAACTGTGGTAAGTCCATGTAAGTTACTCAGAGAAATAAGAATGAAAGTGCACAGACAATATCTTACAGCATTATTGTAGATTTGCTTTTTTTGTAGAAATTTAATAATTTACAGTGTACACTGACATATTTAAGAGACTTTAGGTTTCATAATATTTAAATATTTAATTTATAATATTTACTGGATTAATTACTTGAGAAAGATTATAACTGAAATATATAAAAAAGGAGACTAAACACATAAACTATATAAAGATTGTCAAAAATATTTGAAAGTATATGAATGTTTTAATCAGCCTATACATTTATCAAAGGTTTACTAAAAAGTTATTGCTAAAGTTGTTAATTCTAATGACACAGAATAAGTTTAATACTTCTAAGTTTTAAAATGTGTGACTTCAGTAAGCTGCAAATTAATTAAACAAAGTAAACTTTTCATTGCTTATTTCTGTGAGCAAGTCTGCCCTCCAGGACATCAGAACAAACAAACAAATTAAAAGAAAAATCCCTCTTACATAGAACAGCAACCCATAACACAAATTCAGATTTAAGATAATCGGAGATCACATTCTAATAGTCTCGTGAATTATAAGAGTTCATAGAAGAGCACATTAACCTGAAATATTACTTAGGGAGTGATAGGTCTTCAGAGTCCTACCTCTTCTAACTTTTTGTGGCATTTGTAATTTATGTTCATAAATGCACAAATAGTGATGCTTCCTTATTGCATACGTTCTGTTTAGTGTAACAATTTTTAAAGTACATACAGCTTGTAATTTGCTCTGTTTTACAGTTATATACTGAGATTTCTTTTTCATAGTATCCTTTTATTCCCTCCAGTTTCTTTCTCTTCTTTTCCTATTCATTTATGTGATACACTAAATAAATACATATCCAAGAAGGTAGTCTACTCATCTTAATTATTATTACTCTAAAAAATTTCAAAAGGCACATGCTGCACCATAATAATGGTAATGATAAAGTAAATGTAATTATTCACTTAGCTGCATCCTTAAAAGGAAGTTACGAAGGGGGAGGAGAGTGTCTGAAAGATACACTAATGAGATCATTATCAGTATGTTTCTGTATGTTTTTGCATACTTTCCACTTCCAAGCTTTATAATTTCATAATACTCCATCGTGAGAATGAGTTTCTATATTCTCCAGACAAAAAGTTGTTTTCTTAGCAATTATAATAAAGTGTAAAAAAAGAAGAAGCTTTTAAACTGAATTGCTTCAACATTCCTAAAGCTCCCTGGACTCCTGTTAGCATATCTTATTCTTAGTGTCTGTAGTTAAAGCACATTTCTCCCTTTTTTAATACATTTCTAAATTTTTATTACTACCTTCTACGCAATTAAATCACAAAGTAAGCAAAGTCAATTGAATGGTGGCTGAACAACCATCACTTCTACACGGCATTAAAAACTGAAAATGAACACAATTTAGCTTTACCAGCTAATTTAGTCAGGTATCACCCTACGGCATCAACACCATTTATCACTATCACTGCAGCCTGGCATGTAGGCCCTATCATCAGTAGCTTTCACAAAGCAAATTAAGAACTTTTTAACGTTGTCTTTGCTCAGGAAAGAAAAACAAACATTTAATATTCTTTACATATCAGCTCTTTGTAGTCAACTCCAGTGTCATATTAACCTCAACATTTGGAAGTTAGAAGTAATACAAAAATTTGCTTCAGTATATAATACATATGTTTTTCAGATTCCTACAAAGCATAAAAATTATAACTTTCAAAGGCCGGGTGCATTGGCTCATGCCTGTAACACTAGCACTTTGGGAGGCCCAGGCAGGCGGATTGCCTGAGCTCAGGAGTTCCAGACCAGCCTGAGCAACATGGTGAAACCCTGTCTCTACTAAAATACAAAAGAAATTAGCCAGGCGTGGCAGTGTGCGCCTATAGTCCCAGCTACTCGGGAGGCTGAGGCAGGAGAATTGCTTGAGCCCGGGAGGCAGAGGTTGCAGCGAGCCAAGATCACGCCACTGCATTCCAGCCTGGGCAACAGAGCAAGACTCCATCTCTACCAAAAAAAAAAAAAAAAAAAAAAAAATTATAGCCTTCAAAAAGTTACATATGTAGAAAAATAATTGAATTTTGCTCTGTGTAGACTCAAACTACTGCCATTCTTACATATTTAATGTAATATTCTTTATTCATTTGTTATCCTTTCAATATATTTTATTCCTATAAGATTGTGTGCTAAATTCAAAAAATTGCATTCATTTTTTATATGGCATAAACACTATGCATTTGAGTTAGCAATTGAAAACTCAATCTGGTCTCACAGTTAAGATTTCGTAGCAGACTTGGAATGAGTAGAGGGAATTATTGATTTTTACCACCCATTTACGATAATCATAGAGTTGCATGATTAAAGCCAAGTTTGGAAAAATGAAATTGTCTGGTTTTGTGTTTTTACTTTTCAACAAGTGCCGAGACCAGCTCGTTCGGGGAGACCCTAACCCAGTGGTGCTAGAGGAATTAAAGACACACTCACAGAAATATAGAGGTGTGAAGTGGGAAATCAGGGGTCTCACAGCCTTCAGAGCTGAGAGCCCCGAACAGAGATTTACCCACGTATTTATTAACAGCAAGCCAGTCATTAGCATTGTTTCTATAGATATTAGATTAACTAAAAGTATCCCTTAATGGAAACGGGATTAACTAAAAGTATCCCTTTTGGGAAACCAAGGGATGGGCCGAAATAAAGGGATGGGTTTGGCTAATTATCTGCAGCAGGAGCATGTTCTTAAGGCACGATCTGTCATGCTACTGTTTGTGATTTAAGAATGCCTTTAAGCGGTTTTCTGCCCTGGGTGGGCCAGGTGTTCCTTGCCCTCATTCCGGTAAACCCACAACCATGGCCATGATGTTAGGACCATCATGAACATGTCACAGTGCTGCAGAGATTTTGTTTATGGCCAGTTTTGGGGCCAGTTTATGGCCAGATTTTGGGGGGCCTTTTCCCAACAACAAGGAAATTGAAAGAAGAATTTAGAGACTTGCCCAAAGTTGGTGATGGGTTTTAATTACATAGCTCTGGCTTGGGGCTCCTAATTTAATATTTATTCAATAATAAAGCTTATAAAATAATATCTCGACTACCTCAAAAACCCTTTGACATTATCAAAGTCAGGAGTTGGTCTGCCTCAAAACTATAGAAAATGGAAAACTTCAAAGGCAAATATCAAAAGTTTTCATATGAGCATTATCCAGAAAAATTACATTTAGCCAACTAGATTAAACCCTTGTCAGCTTCCTTAATGTAGAGATTGATGTCAGTGGTTGTAATCAACAGGCCTCTAGATGGTTGGTACCATTTTCAAAGACATGGCTAATGAAAATGGGATGCACCCAACTCTGGCCCTATTTTATTCATTTGACTTACCTAACTCCATTGTTCTGATTGGATGTTCATTCAACATAACTTTGGCTTGCCCTGGGTCTATGGGCAAAAAGAGAATAAATGGGAAAATCTTCTAGGCATTCAGTCTTCTGGTGACTAATTTTCTTTTCTTTTCTTTTCTTTTTTTTTTTTTTTTTTTTTTTTTTCTGAGACGGAGTCCCACTGTATCGCCAGGCTGGAGTGCAGTGGCACGGTCTCGGTTCACTGTACAACCTCCGTCTCCCCCTCTCAGGTTCAAGCGATTCTCCTGCCTCAGTCTCCCAAGTATCTGGGACTACAGCTGCACACCACCACACCCAGCTATTTTTTGTATTTTTAGTAGAGATGGGGGTTCACCATGTTGGTCAGGATGGTCTCGAATCCTTGACCTCGTGATCCTCCTGCCTCAGCCTTCCAAAGTGCTGGGATTACAGGCGTGAGCCACTGTGCCCGGCCGGTGACTAATTTTCATTACAAATAAATAAGTTGGCATTATGTGATCTAATACACTATTTTATATATTAATTTTTGAAATACTCCTCTGAGTTTACCAAGTTGGATTAGTCCTTCCACAAGCACTATCAAATCACATGGCACATTCCCTAACACAGCCTCTCCCGCATTGTATAATATTATAATGTTTACTTATCTCTCACCTGCACTAAACTATATGTTCCTTTAATACACAAATATATCATATTTGTTGCTTTATTACCAGTATGTAAAACATGGTGATATGTCTAGCTGATAGCCTGGCACATAATAGTTTTTTATGAAATATTTTAAATGAATGAAAGACTTATTTGCTGAATTCTAGATTCTAGAGGTATGAAGTTTCCAGAACAGTAATATCAAATAGCCAAATCCCAGGTTAATTTTTTTTAGCATAGAAATTTTTGCATACTACCAACAACATATAAACATTCATATAATAATAATTAATATTTTCACCCTTCGATTCACAGACCCATGAATCTTGGTGATGGGTGACATATCACTTTATATACAATGCTGATTTAGCGCATGTATCACAGCCTAGAGAACATTGCCTCAGTTTTGCAAGTGTTTGTACCCTAGATATAACTAAAAGTAAAAATCCAAAAGGCCATTGCACTGTTTAAAAACTCCAGCTGCTTCAAGAAAGTGGTGAACATGTATATTTAGTGAATTCCATGGACTTGGGCTTATTGCCAAAATTCATTTACTAGAAAATTATTTGCTTGGTCAAAAGTGATGCTGTGTGTAATGCCAACAGGATGAATACAGCATTTTTGAGTCCATAAATAGTTGTAGTGGCAGAAGCATTTCAGATAGGGAGGCAGTCCAGAATTCTATCCATATCCAGAATGAGTGTCTACCCCAGTGAGAAAAAATATTGCCTATTACACCAGTTAAATCCCAGGGAACTGTGCCTTACTAGGGGCAAAGTATTGGTTTCTGCTGTGCGCATATTGACGCTCAACAGTGGCTATAACCAGTTCTGCCCTGATCCCATGCATAACCACTATCACTTCCCCCATGGTCACTTTGTTCATAAGCCAATTAGGCAATAGTGGTATTGACTGGGAACAGCATAACTGATATGCACCTTATTTTTCCCCATACTACCTACAACTATCTGACATACAATAGTTATTGTCTACTGGTGTTTATTGCCTGTTTCTTCACATTAGAATTCAAACTTCATTGAGGATAGGATTTTTTTTTACTATATTGTCCACTGCTGTATTCCCAAGATATAAAACAGATTTTAAAATCTTATGTATATACTCAAAAATATTTTTAAGCAAAAAACAATTAAATTTTATAAATAACATTGTATCATTACTATTTTTATCCCTAAGCTAGATAAGGTGTTATTACTTGCCAAGTGCCACTTTTCTATTAAGGGATAGAGCTCATATTCACACCCTATTTGCCTGATTTACAAATTGCACTTTTAACCAGTATAGTTACACTATAACAATATAGTATATTACTTATTTTGCTTGAAATATTGGATTTTTGATCAAGTAGAACAGTATCAGAAAGAGCTTTATGTTTTGAAATGTTAGTATAATACAATCAAAGTCCTGAGTGGACTAAAAATTGTGACCACTTTTGGTATCATAAGTAGTTTAAGAAAAGATGATGCCTATACTCTCTACCCATCTGTTGACTAGTCCACAGTCTGACAACATTAAAGAGACAAAATTTGTATTTCAAGACTTAACAAGGCTGGAAAACAGTGGTTAAATACTCAATACTGTCAGTTAGAGCTCCCATATATCTACTCCCCAGTAGTGGAGGTAAAGCACAATCAGCAGTTAAAAAATAATGCAATTATGCAACCCAGCCACTAGTCGGTTTAGTGTAATTGTGTTAAGAAGAGGAATTTCTTCTGTGGAGAATGATATTATCTGAAACCTTTACAATTTCTTTGACAATGTCTTATATTGAATCAGAAATCAACAGAATATTTAAAAAAATGTAAGAAAAAGAATATAAGCAAGAGATAGCAAACACAGGAATGTCCAAGTTATTACTGTTCTCATATATAGACTATAAAGAACTCTAATTAACATATCTAAATCAATAGGTATAGATGAGAGTAAGTTTTCAAAAGGACAGCAAGCTATAAAAAGAATGAGCTGTAAATTCTATTTCTCACAAATGCATTTAACTAAAATTAATAGGTCAATATATGATATTAAGCAAATTGGACAAGAAAGAAGATTCATAGAATAGAAGATAGAGCATTAGGAAATATTCAAGCTGAAGAACATACATGAAAGGGTTGGCAAATACAATAGAGAACTGAAGAGAAAGTAATCATGGCAGAAACAATACCCAAAGATTTACTGGCTAAGAATTTATTTTACTGACAAAATTACATCAATTTACATATTCAAAAAGCACTATGGAATCGAAGAAGGATAAATTCAAGGAAAATCACATTTACTTTAGAACACTTGTAATTATAACTTCTTCATCTTTGAAATTTGTGTGGATACTTTTGAAGGCTAAATAAGCCTCATGTCTTCTTTACAACCCAGAATTGCTTTTCTCAAGGCCCAGGGACCAATTCACTGACATATAATCATCGAAAAGATAGTGCTCCTATCACCCAGTGTCTGTGGAAGAATAGAAATTTAACTACACTAGGGCTCTTGGATCCAAAACTAGTTCCCATTATAAAGATGCGAGAGTTGTGTTTTCCCTTGGATAAAGTCAATTAGCAAAAAACAGATGGCCACCTCAATTTCCAGGTGAATCCAGGACCAAGATAAACTATGTTTTGACAAATGGTGTTTTAAAGACTTCTTTCTTGAGGATCAATTATTGCCCATCTTGTGAACATATTTGTCATTTCTTGTTTCTGTATGTCTACATAAAAGAGAGCAATTTCTTTCTGTCTTTGAAATCTCTGAGTAGACTGTGATGCACATCACATTCTGATTTAATGCTAATTTAATAATCATATTTCTCCAACTGCACTATACATATACACACACAAACACACATGCACACACATGCACTTGTACACATACATGAGGATTTCAAAAAGTTCATAGAAAAACAGAATTAAAAGGTAAATAAAAATATAAAAAGATAAATACAAAAATATAGACTTTATTTCTTAACATAAGCTCCATCAGTTTCCAGACACTTTGGTAAGCAATGATACTAGGCATTTAGTTCATCCTTAAAGAACTGAGGGTCCTGGAAATTTAACGATGTAAATGCAACCTTTTTTACATTATCAACTGAAAACAAATGGGTGCCCCTTACAGATTTTTTAAGATTGGGAAACAAGAAGAAGTCAGAAATAGCTGAATCAGGACTGTAAAATGGATGCCAATAATTTCCCATTAAAACTCTTGCAAAATTGCGCTGGTTTCATGAAAAGAATGAGCAGGAGTATTATCATGGTGGGGAAGAACTTTCTGGTGTAGCTGTACCAAGTGTTTTTCTGCTAAAGCTTGGGCAAACTTTCCCAAAACACTCTTATAATAAGCACATTTTACTGTTATCTGGAGCTCCAGAAAGTCAATAAGCAACATGCCTTGAGCATCCTGAAAAAATGGTGGCATGACCTTTTCTCTTGACTAGTCTGCATTGGTGTTGATTGGAACACTTCCAACTCTTGGTAGCCACTACTTTGATTGTGCTGTGTCTTCAGGATTGTACTGGTAAAGCCATGCTTTATTTCCTGTTACAATTCCTTCAATAAATGTTTCAATATCTTGATTTTACTTGTTTAAAATTTCCATTGAAAGCTCTACTTTGTCTGAAGCTAATCTGGGTGCAATGGTTTTAACAACCATCGATTAGGAAGTGTGCTCCACATTAATTTTTTACTAAGCCCATTAGTATATCCATTTTCTGCTGCTATTTGTTGCACCTCTTCAATTAGACCATGGAAAACATAAATGTTTTTCCTCATAAGTTGATGTGGATTATCTGCCGCTGTGTGCCTCGTCTTCAGCATTGTCTCATCCCTTCTTAAAATGAGTTATTTATTTGTAAACTGCTGATTTCTTGGGGGCACTGTCCCTCTAAACTTTTTGGAAAGCGTCAGTGATTTCACTCTTCTTTTACCCAAGCTTCACCATAAATTTGATGTTTGATGTTGCTTTAATTTTAGCAGAATCTATGTTGCCTAGATAGGGAATCTTTTCTAATGGATAGCTTTCTTAGTGTCTCAACTAGATAGTTTTCAGACATGTTATAAAAAGTTATTATGAGCTTAATTTGGCACAAAATATTTTGAAGTCTATACTTCTTTTTTATAATATGCATTTTCTATGAACTTTTTGAAGTCTGTTATGTGGTAAAATTTTGCTGCAATGTGGAGAACCAAAATATTTGTTTAAAAGCCCTAGTGACCATAGCAGTGTTACTAAATTGTATGACACTGAATTAAAAAAAAAAAGTAAGCCAATGACTATTAGACCAGTAATAACTGGGCCTTGAGAGTACAAAAGTCACTGAACAACCTTATGATAGAATCAACCATAATGGAGAATAATTGCTGAAGTCCTAGATTTCTAACTGATAACAGGAGCTAAGTATGATGCAAAGCCTGAGCCTCAAAGTGAAAAATGAAACACTTAGAACGTGAATATTATACCTATTCTGACATGCTAAGGTTGAGTTTAAACAATTTATTGAATGAGTCAGACTCTGCAGAACTACCCAAAACATAATTTATTTATTTATCTATGCATATAAATCATTGCCTCTAAACAAGCTCTCTTAGATTTTATCCTCAACCTTGGTTGACATCTTGAGCATACACTACAGCCCAGTAGATCAGTGTCCTCAGTATAAAAAGCAGTTTTATTTTTATATATTAAAGTGCACCATCCAATTTAATGCTAATTTTTAATTTCTCGTCAAATTCAAAGTGCCTTTCTTCTTCCTCCCTTTCACCACCAACCCTAGTCAACCTTCTCAGGTCTGATGTGTAGCTCATTGACAGTGGTAGAAAAGTAACAGCATGATGTATTTTCTCACTCACTCCATATTGCCTGCAGTACCAAACCCTAATTTATTGATTTTAGCTCCTCAGGACTGAATAGAATGATGAGGTTTCAGAACCAGGACAAGGGCTATTCATTTTGTTTTGGATTTCTTAATATTTAACTTTTGGCTGAAGCAAATACATTATTCTAATGCTGGCTAATTTAAGGAGCACATTAGTGATTTCTTTAGATATCATTCATGGAGATCCCACTGGACCTTCCAACTACCTTCTAACACAGGGCATGTTTTCTCCAACTGACTTCTTGTGACATTCCTTCAACTTTTGAGATAGTGTTGACATTCCTCTGTCTGCTGATATCTGCTTATCGAGATGATAGCTCTCTTGAGCAATATCTTTTATGAGAATGCAAACTCAGCTAACTTCCATTGCATATAATTGAAGCATGAGACTTATGCACCCTTGTCCCATTGCCTTAAAAAGTAACTGGTACTGCTGCTACCTTCTTTCTTTTTTCCTTACTATTTGGGGCTATTCAAGATAATCTCTGCTTTCAGCCTAATCAGTGAAGTACCATTCTCTATAATCCATAACCCAATCTCAGGGGGCTCTAAGTGAATTATCCTAAGACTTTTTCCCACTGTCCATTCCAATAGCTACATGTTACATTGTATGAGCCTAAATATTTCTTCAGTTCTTTCAATATTTAACTAGACAGTGCGATGTTTATTTCACCTGTTGTAAACCATCAGAATCTCTATCACTGCTCCATTTGAGAACCTTCCTAATTGACTTGAATTTTATAAAATGCGGTCCTTTTCTATCTTTTATAATTAAGGGGAAAACCCCACCGGAATAGTTATGGGATATATAATTATCTTTTAAAAGTCCCCTCCTTTATTGAATGGTTAGTCTTATCTCATATAGGCTATTGAGACTGCTCATCGCTGGACCATGTGGCTAACTCTTAAGAAGCCCTTCTAGTATGTGACTATATTTATTTTTTGAAGTGAAGACATGTATCATTAATCATCTTTGACTTTGAGAAATTATCTAAAATACTTAGAGAATGGTAAAAGTCCCATTTTGCACTCCATTCCATTGGAAGTAATATAATACAGTCAAAAAGTGTTAATTACAATGTACCCATTGATCACCAGGTACATCCATCTAGGGAGAGAACTAGACAGTGAAAATGTCCTGCCTTTCAACAGGATGTAGCAAATAGGGGAAGATAGGCCTTGATGTCACTATTTTTGTGTGTATAATTTTTCTTTCTCTCTCCTCATATATATATCTATGTATGTGCGTGTGTTTACGGTTATGTATGTGTATATATATACACACATACATAATTATTAGATAATATCTGTAAATACTGCTAACTTAACATCAAAGTTTAACTAATACTTATAAATTGATTTTCCCTCAAAAGTTTAACAATATTGACTGAGTTTTTAAGAACTTCTGTTATTCTGAACAATGTTCAGTGAAAATGTTTGCAACTCCTCCTTCCTGTTAGTTGTTGAGATTAAGTAGAAAGTGAGATGACTTTTCAAATATTCATTTTATCTGTCACTTAAAGTAGTAAAATGACACAGAATGCAGTAACAGTGACATGATGTCCTCATCAAATGACAGTCATTTCCAATGGATTTTTTCTGTGTATATTCTCATGCAATTTTCATAAACAGATAATGCGCATTCACAGTATTATAAAACCTAATGGTAATTGTTTTCAGTTTGTGTAAAGGATAATCATCAGAGATAGATCCTGACCACAGCCTTAACAACGTGACAGCTCAGTTCTTCTAACCTCAGTTTCTTTATCTACCTTTGCTTCCTCTTTGTGCTGTTACCACTGAGAATTCAGATTGCATATATGGCCATGCTTGGAAAATTGAAGAATGCTATGCGAATGAGAGACATGAGCCATTTAAAAATGTAAGATATATAATTTCTTTGAGCATTTTATGTTTTTCCAAAAAGCATTTACGTTTACCTGGAGTTATCACACACTTTATGTTCTTTTTTCATCATACTGTACATTTTACATCTAATGTACTGCATTTTTCCAGTGTTTTACGTACAGTAGACAAAAAAAGTGAGAATGTAGCTTAGTTTCTTTATAAAAATATATTTCATTATTTCCTGTCTCCTTCAGCAATTCTCTTAATTTTAAAATTTGAGTTTTTTTTCCTTTCTTACTTTTATACAGATGATGTAGAAATTGATTTTTCTATTTGCTGAAGAATAAAGATTAGTGGCCAAAAGTCAGAAGGTTAAGAGATGAAAGGACATAACTGTTTGAATTTAATCTAGAATCTATTGTGTATACACAGAAACTCACACACACACACACACACACACACACACACACAGAATATTTCTATGCTAAAAGGATCTTACGCATCTCTCCAAATGGTTAAAATATATGAAATGTATAATAGTAAATCTTATATAATATCTTAATCTTTTAGAAAATTCCTTACTTTTGCACCATTTTCTTTGTTTTAATAGCATGCACTGCAATGTTTTTTACCATTTCTATTCCCAATGCTTGTTTCAGTGAATTCATATTATATTTTACTTTGTTAAATTTCATCTCACTCTGAGTTTAAGTTTCCCATACAGAAATTTAGTTTGCAACTATTATATTTCAATTTTGCTACTATAAACCATAAAGGTTAAAAAGAATGGCTGAGTCTTTATTTTACGGTTTCATGCTCCCAAGTGATGCTCTTAGAAGTTCTGAGCTGCTTAGATTTCACAGGTTGTTAGCACCATTGTGAGAGCCCCTGCCATTGGCTATATCAAAAAGACATTTAATTAGTCAGAGATATTGAGGTTTTAAAACTGTCTAGTGCACATGTCTATAACTACTTGGAATGATTTCTTATAGCAGGTATTTCTTCTGTAGATGAATAGAACAAATATGGACACATAATTCATTGTACAAATAGATAAAATGTCATTGAAAGTAATTGATTATTGCTTCCATAGAAGACCCAATGTGATATATTTACAGGTTTTCTATGGGAGTATCATACATCACTTTGGGTTTTCTCTAACATTGTGAAGTTTATATTGTCTGTTGGAAGATATATCAATCTTAGCAATCACTCTCTTTGCCTCTTGAAATAATCTCATCATTTTATGTCTACTAGACTTGTTTTGCAGTGACTTCTCAGCCCACACTTTCTTTCTTTTTTTTTTTTTTTGTTAATTTTACTTTAAGTTCCAGGATACATGTGCAGAGGATGAAGGTTTGTTACATAGGTATACACGTGCCATGATGGTTTGCTGTACCTATCAACCCATCATCTAGGTTTTAAGCCCCGCATGCATGAAGTATTTGTTCTAATGCTACCCCTCCCCTTGCCTCCCGCCCTTCAACAGGCCCCAGTATGTGTTGTTCCCCTCCCTGTGTCCATGTGTTCTCATTGTTCAACTTCCACTTATGAGTGAGAACATGTGGTATTTGGATTTCTGTTCCAGTGTTAGTTTGCTGAGGGTGATGGTTTCCAGCTTCATCCATGTCCCTGCAAAGGACATGAACTCATTCTTTTTCTGGCTGCATAGTATTCCATGGTGTATATGTACATTTTCCTTATCCAGTCTATCAGTGATGGGGATTTGGGTTGGTTCCATGTCTTTGCTATTATAAATAGTTCTGCAATAAACATATGTATGCTTGTGTCTTTATAGTAGAATTATTTATATTCCTTTGCGTATATACTCAGTAATGGGATTATCGGGTCAAATGGTTCTAGATCCCTGAGGAATCAACACACTGTCCTCCAAAATGTTTGAACCAATCTACATTCCCACCAACAGTGCAAAAGTGTTCCTATTTCTCCACAGCCTCGCCAGCACCTATTGTTTCTAGACTTTTTAATAATCGCCATTCTAATGGGCATGAGATGGTATCTCATTATGGTTTGGATTTGCATTTCTCTAATGATCAATGAAGATTAGCTTTTCTCATGTTTTTTGGCCACATAAATGCCTTCTTTTGAGAAGTGTCTGTTCATATCCTTTGCCCACTTTTTGATGGGGTTGTTTTTTTCTTGTAAATTTGTTTAGGTTTCTTGTAGATTCTGGATATTAGACATTTGTCAGATGGGTAGATTGCAAAAATGTACTCCCATTCTGCAGGTTGTCTGTTCACTCTGATGTGTTTCTTTTGCTGTGCAGAAGCTCTTTAGTTTAATTAGATCCCATTTGTCAATTTTGGCTTTTGTTGCAATTGCTTTTGGTGTTTTAGTCATGAAGTCTTTGCCCATGCCTGAATGGTATTGCCTAGGTTTTCTTCTAGGGTTTTTAAGGAAATCAGGCTAGAGAAATAAAATATTCAAATAGGAAAAGAGGAAGTCAAATTGTCTCTGTTTGCAAATGACATGATTCTATATTTAGAAAACCCCAGCATCTCAGCCCAAAAACTCCTTAAGCTGTTAAGCAACTTCAGCAAAGTCTCAGGATACAAAATCAATGTGCAAAAATTCACAAGCATTCATATACACCAACAATAGACAAGCAGAGAACCAAATCATGAATGAACTCCCATTCACAATTGCTCCAAAGAGAATAAAATACCTAGGGATAGAGCTAACAAGGGATGTGAAGGCCCTCTTCAAGAAGAACAACAAACCACTGCTCAGGAAATAAGAGAGGACACAAACATATGGATAGGAAGAATTAGTATCACGAAAATGCCATACTGCCCAAAGTAATTTATAGATTCAATGTTATTCCCATCAAACTACCAATGACATTTTTCACAGAATTAAAACAAAAAAAAAACTACTTTAAACTTCATATGGAACCAAAAAGGAGACTGTATGGCCAATACAATCCTAATCAAAAAGAACAAAGCTGGAGGCATCACACTACCTGACTGCAAACTATACTATAAGTCCAAAGTAACAAAAATGGCATGGTACTGGTACCAAAATAGACATAGATTAATGGAACAGAACAGAGACCTCAGAAGTAACACTACACATCTACAACCACCTGATCTTCGACAAACCTGACAAAAACAAGCAATGGAGAAAGGATTCCCTATTTATTAAATGGTTTTGGGAAACTGGCTAGCCATATACAGAAAACTGAAACTGGACCCCTTCCTTACACCTTGTACAAAAATGAACTCAAGATGGATTGAAGACCCACTTAAATGTAAAACCCACACTTTCCAAGCTTTTAAAAAAACTCTTTGTCCTAAGAACACCTGTTTCTACCTTGGAAGTAGGTCTGTACTATGAGATTTGCCCCATCTCACAGTTGAAATTTTTAGACACATGGTTAATGTTAGATCAATCCTAAACTTATTCCATAAATTTGGAGTTGGGACAGCAATTTCAGCATTTCTCTAGTATACACTTAAACTGATAAGTGTGACAAAGTTGGGCTGAGATAGTTACTTGCCTGTTAGCTTGTTAAAATCCAAAATAATCCATGTGTCAAGGGAAAAGAATGAAATACATGTCTGGAGAAAGGCAAAGCAAAGAGATCAGTGTGGCCCAGAACTAATAGAGGGCAATCTCATTTGCTAATTCAAGTTCCTGATTTCTGTTCCTAATGAGGCTTAACTCTGATTCCTGCCATCATATTTCATGTGGATAAACTAATATGCTGAAAATCAATTTCCTCTCCCTACCACCCCTTGCTTAAGATAATTGGAATGGGTTTCTAATATTTTCACCAAAAAGAGCTTTGACTATAATCATGGCTAAGGATGGAATGATCGGTTTATTAATCAGGGTCAATATCAGAGAGAACAGAGTACTTGTAATAAAAAGGTCATGGTTTACTTAGAATTACAGAATATTAGATTTGAAGTGGATCTCAGGGATCATTTATTGAAGCTATCTCATTTTCTATCTTTCCACCCACCAATAAGGAAACTAAATCACAAAAGTACTAAATTAATTTTATTTTCTTCTTTGTAGAGTTACAATTGATTTCACTGTGGCTACAGATCAGTATTAACAATTTTTATTGAATAAAGTATAATATTGACTTCCTTGAAAACCAATAATAATAATGTTTTTTCTTGGCTACACAGGTAATTTACAGTTTGACTTCATATAGATTATTTATCTCCTTTGAATAATCATGTCTTGCTTATAAAATGAGAGTATTAAAATTGTTTCAAGAACGGAGGGTGTTATGATGAAGGCTGAATGAAGACTCTTTGTTACCAGGTAATGTATAAGATGACGACACAGAAATGATCATCAGGAATTACAGAGGACAAGTAGAAATAAGAATTTTTGAGTCCTCACAGCAGTTCTGCAAGGAAAGAGAAGCAAAATAAGAACTCAGTTTGAACCTCAGCTGGATCAAAATGTATAAAAATAAACGTGCTTATGCTACATGTACTAGAAGGAAAATAGGCTAGCAAGATATATCTGTAAGGAACTGAATATATATTATAAATTACATTATTTACATAATTTTTAATAACTTTTCTCCATATGCCACCTTAAATCTTTAAATTCTTGCACCCATTGGTTTCCACAGAGCTCATAGCAAATGCTACTGTTTTTCTTCAAATGAAAATTGCAAAAAGAAAAGAAATGAAAGTTATAACGGCATGAAATTTTTAAAAAGGAAGAAAACAAAATTAGAAAACAAGAGTTGCTATTAGCATTTTTATTGTGTTCTCCATAAGGGAGGGGCGACTAAAAGAATAAGTTCATCTGTGCCTGTCACTTCAAATCTTTAGGGTGTTAGCCCATATACAAGCCAGTTCTGTGTTGATTTCCACTAGATCCACACAAGACATTCATAGTTCTTCGTGACTGCCTTTGAGCAGTAACATGTCTGAGGAATATTTCTTCCTCAGGCATGAGAAATCTGGAAATCAGATAATTAATACTGCCTGTGAAAAGACTACTCTTGACAAATGCAGGGTGGGAGCAAAAGGATGAACGCTTACTTTTGTTTCCCTGGAAAACAGCTCTGAGAACTATTGCATAAGGCTCATCAAAGAGTCCTAGGGAGATGGGTTTGATGGTGTGCACCTGTAGACCAACTACTCCGGAGGCTGAACAGGAAGAATTGCTTGATCTCAGAAATTTGAGTCCAACCTGGACAACATAGTCAAACAACATCTCTTGCAAAAACAATAAAAGTGAATAACTGTGGCCAATTTAACAATGTACCTTTTGATTGCCTTTCCCTCCTCTTTGTCATTGCCTTTATACCTCACATGGGAATATAAGGTAACTTCTAAATAAACTCTTTTCAGTAGCAGCTGTCATAGTTTCGACTTGTGGGAAAACCCAGACTGAGAAAGTACATAGAAATATGCCTAGAATGCAAGCCTTTGCAATAATAATATTTTAGAGCTAGAATACACATCCATCAGATGAAAATAATGACCCCATTGCTAATTATAATAGAGATGGGAAAAACCCCCAGTCCCAACACCATTGCAATTACCATAAATCCCATCTTGCAGGTTGGGATAATGTATATATATAGGTGAAGAGTAGGTTACTGGGTAGTTATGAGGTTGTGATACTTAAAGAATTTTAAGAAATACTACAAGAATTGTTGGCTGGATGTGGTGGCTCATACTTGTAATCTCAGCAATTTGGGAGGCCAAGGCAGGAGGATTATTTTGGCCCAGGAGTCTGAGACCAGCCTGAGAAACATAGGGAGGGCCCATCTCTACAAATGATAACAAAAAAAAAAAATTAGCTGGGCATGTTGAAGCAAGCATGTGGTCCCAGTTACTTAGGAGGCTGAAGCAGGAGGATCTCTTGAGCCTGGGAGGTCAAAGCTACAGTGAGCTATGATCATGCCGCTGAATTCCAACCTGGGTGACACAGTGAGGACATGTCTCAGAAATAAAGAATTTTTTAATTAGAAGGCTTTGTAATTAACCATTTAGTAAGTTTTAGAAGAGAAAATTTTAAGTTCAGATCAGCCAAATATCACCTCAAGGCCTGCCGTGAAACATACAGGACTCACATAGAAACATTTAGGAATATTCATCGGGAAAATTGGAGCCAAGGTCTAATTGTAAAAGCAGAAGGATGTAAAGAATGCTAGAATTACAGCTTTGTCAGGTTATTTATGTCATACGTAGGACTTGGACATTTTTAAAAGTAGGATGCCAAGAACTGGGATTAGGTGGAGAGTTTGGTGGGCCTCTGTAATTCTCAACACCTACCACTAAGAAAGAGAGCACACTGTAAGACCCATACAGATTGGAGGCACCATATTTCATACCTGGAAATATATTTCTGATATAATATTAGAGTAGTCTGCAGACTTCAAGTTAGGACCTAAGATTATAAGAGGGCTTAGCTGCAATTACAAGCTATAGTGCAAGTTTCTTGACAACTTAGGTCATATTATCCAGCAAACCTGATGGAGCTAAAATAATAAGTGGCAAATAATAATGCTGTATGGAATATCTGGTAGTCTGCATGAAATTCTCTTCCTAGTTTCCCGGAATTCTGATCATCATGCCACACACACACACACACACACACACACACACAAAACATTTTCAGCTTTCAAAAATAATTTATTCTAGAGCCCTTAGAGTGACTGAAGGCCTGAACAAAGAATATAGAACTGCTCATAATGAGTTTCATATTATCAGATTCGTTGAGTCATAAGGCCAGGCGGGCACAGCAGCTAAACACTCCAAAGTGGAAACATACACTCAAGTATAGGCTACGGCAGAGCCAAGTTAATTAGTTAATTAATAAAATTTTTGGCGTTCCCTTGACTCTTTCTTCTATTGTACCACAGCCTCTCCCTCAGCTTATACTTAGGTGTTAAGGGGAGTTCCCTATGAGCAACTGGCAGAGGGGGAAAAACCTCAAGCTTGAATCACAGGCTGCCAGTGTAATATGTTGGTATTAGCTATAAACTTGTAAGCGATCTTAAATCACTGAGATAAAGGAGAGGAATGGCAGACCTCCAAAGAGTACAATTTAAAGGGAAAAGCAGCCTGAAGAACAGACACATAAATACCTTACCAGCTGTGAATGACTGTTGGTTGGTTAGGCATCTGGAAGGAGCAATCCTGGAAGATCAGAGACAAAGTAGTCTGGGGCAGTTGAATGTGCATAGACCTATGGGAGTAAACCAGGTTGTGCAGATCTTTTGGTGTCGTGTTAATGCCCATCAGAAATTAGCCACAGGAGATACTCAACAACCAAGTAGATTTCACCCAGCCTCTCTTCTCAAGAACTCCAGTCAGGGCAAAATGAGCACTGAACAGATGGCTTTGGAGGAGTGTATGAAAGCTCTTTTGGGTATCCATATTATGGGCCCTCTACTCCTGACCACTTATTCCACGTCTACCACTGCTGAATATCTAACTTTCTCAAAGCAGAAATCAACTCTGTGCTCTTAATGTGTTACTATCAAATATATGACTGTTTATTTCATCAGATCCTTTTCACCCTCTATGGACCACAACACATCCTTACTGGAATTGACATATACTCTGGCAATGTGATTTTTTTTTCTGTCTGCAATGCTTTTACCTTCACCATCATCCAAGGAATTAAGAAAGACATAATATTTTGCACAACATTGCCTCAGAAAAAGGAACGTGTTTTACAGGGCCTGGTTATTGTCCCATTTGTAATATAAGGGAGTTTGTCTTAATAGAACCATGAAATGCCCTAAACACTGGCTCAGAGACATTTCTTTTGCTCTAAAAGTTTTACTTCTGAGTCTAAGACCAAGGAAATAATATCAAATACAAGAAATTATCTTAAAAGTGTTATTTGAAATAGTGGAACTATTTACGTGCATTGAGGCTATAAAGTGACAGATAAGTAATTTGTAATTTTATGATTAAAATGTATTTATGATTATATGTCATCACAGGATTATATGATTAAAACTGAATTAGGCTATGCCTAGAAAAATTTGAAACTGATATTCTGAAATATGAATCATGCTTGTGACTGAGTGGTGTTTTTTTATTTATATTTTGTTATTATCCAAATTGTCTTTAATATGTAAACATTATAATATAAATAAGTACACCAAAAATGAAGAGAGTTAATTACTATGTCACTAGAAAAAGGGAAATAGGCACAATCTGTCCAATTTTTTTGTATAGGTTTGATTTGATTTGCTTGTTCTTTCTTAAGTATTTATAATGTGATGACCATCATAGCACAAGGTCTTCTGTATAAAAAAGGCTTAAGGATACAGAAGGGAGAAAAATCTATCAATGGCACATGGTAAAGAAGTCTCTAAAGTAGAGGTAAATAATATATTTCCTCATGCTAAAAATGAAAATATTTTCCAGAGAAACATCAAAGAACATCAATAGCTATATAACCTGAGGTTAATCGTAGTCTTGATTTTATCATGACTTCAGGAAATTATTAATAAATAAGGCTTTTCAGAGACTAGATATACAGAGAGGTTTATTGGCCTCATGAAGAAATATAAAGAAACAGCATGTAGTTTTCTGTCACATTCCATGTAGTTAAGTTTGTATAATCCTAAAAGGGAAGAAAAAAACAGGCTCTATTCTCTCAATATTTTGAAAAAAAAAATTAAAGAAATATGCAAGCAGCTTAACCAAAAATTATTAGTTATTTGAGCCCTACTTACTGTGAGTGAAATAGATCTGTGCTAATAAGTGTTCCTTCATGAGGGGTCTGCCCTTCCTTCCTGGAATAAATATGAAAAGCTTTGTAATATATTTCTTCAAGCATCTATTTTTATAAAGAATTCTGCTATGCTACTACCAATAATGAATTGCCCTCTAGGTTAGATAAGAATCCTTGAACTTTCCAAATTCCAATTGTTCTGGTTAGTTTGATAGTTTTGAGAGGTGAAGAGAATAGGGGATTAGTAGCTAAAGACATGAGAGAAATTATAATGCTAATAAATCCACAAAACAGCAGGTCTAAAAAAGGAGGCTCAAGTTCATACAGCAAGATAATCAAGAAGTTACAATCAAAGCTAGAAAGAGAGATTTGAGGATTCTGGGAACCGTCAATGAATTGAGGAGATAACACAGCAAATTGACTAAGAGTGTGGTGGAATGACCTGGGTTCAGATCTAAGCACTCACTAACCGTATGTCCATGGGAAAGCTTCTCAACCAGTTTGAGTCTTGTTCCTTATGTGCAAAATATGGTTAAAAGTGGCAACTCACTTAAAAGACTATTTAAAAGTTGTTTTAAGTTATTCACAGTGCCTGGCATAGTTAATGATCAATAAATATAAGCTACTTTTAAAGACCTGTTTGGATAGTGCATCCAACTAAGATAAATCTTGGTACTTGAAGGCCTCTCTTCTAGTTCATCTCAGCACAAATCACTCTTGATGGAGAAGGTGCAAGGCTAAATAATATTACTTCTCTCTCAGGTTGGAATCATATAAATTTTTATTGGGCACTGGTTTTCAAAAATGAATTTTTAAATAGCATTCAAATATATTTTATCTTTTCTCATAATTAATTTCTTCCTCTGAAGCATAAAACTGTATTTTAGGAGACATTTCTACAAAAAAGCTACTCTATTTCTAAAAATATAAGAATGAAGACAAAGCTAATGTAATGTTTAAATTATTGTGTTAAATATCAGATTTAGGAATAAAGTCTCAGGAGAAAAGGCGAATAGGTAGGTAGTAAATATGAATGTTTTATGAATGAATGGGTAGGTGAATGAATGAATGAATAAATGAATCAAATTGAGTGAGCAGACAGAGGAGAACACAATGCAGTATGAATGAATCATAGACAAAATGTGTTAGAAAGAGGAAAGAGGAGTCAGGTAGTGTGATGCCTCCAGCTTTGTTCTCTTTGTTTAGGATTGTCTTGGCTATGCAGGCTCTTTTTTGGTTCCATATGAAATGTAAAGTAATTTTTTCTAATTCTGTGAAGAATATCAGTGGTAGTTTGATGGGAATAGCATTAAATCTATAAATTACTTGGGGCAGTATGGTCATTTTCATGATATTGATTCTTTCTATCCATGAGCATGGAATATTTTTTCATTGGTTTGTGTCCTCTCTTATTTCCTTGAGTAGTGGTTTTTAGTTCTCCTTGAAGAGGTCCTTCACATCCCTTGTTAGCTGTATCCCTAGGTATTTTATTCTCTTTAGAGCAATTGTGAATGGGAGTTCATTCATGATTTGGTTCTCTGCTTGTCTATTGTTGGTGTATATTAATGCTTGTGAATTTTTGCAAATTGATTTTGTATCCTGAGACTTTGCTTTAAATTGCTTAACAGCTTAAGGAGTTTTTGGGCTGAGACTATGTGGTTTTCTTAATATAGAATCATGTCATCTGCAAACAGACAACTTGACTTCCTCTCCTCCTATTTGAATACTCTTTATTTCTTTCTCCTGTCTGATTGCCCTGGCCAGAA
Organism: Homo sapiens; assembly: GCF_000001405.40. Lineage (NCBI taxonomy): Eukaryota > Metazoa > Chordata > Mammalia > Primates > Hominidae > Homo > Homo sapiens. Next base: position 85,093,163 of record NC_000005.10, on the reverse strand, counting down.
CTTCCAATAATATGTTGAATAGGAGTAGTGAGAGGGGGCATCCTTGTCTTGTGCTGGTTTTCAAAGGGAATGCTCCCAAGTTTTGCCCATTCAGTATGATATTGGCTATGGGTTTGTCATAAATAGCTCTTATTGTTTTGAGATGTATTTCATCGATACCTAGTTTACTGAGAGTTTTTAACATGAAGCAATGTTGAATTTTATCAAAGGACATTTCTGCATCTATTGAGATAACCATGTGGTTTTTGTCATTGGTTCTGTTTATGTGGTGGATTACCTTTATTGATTTGCATATGTTGAACCAGCCTTGCATTCCTGGGATGAAGCCAACTTGATCATGGTGGATAAGCTTTTTGATGTGCTGTTGGATTTGGTTTGCCAATATTTTATTGAGGAGATTTTCATTGATGTTCATCAGGGATATTGGCCTGAAGTTTTCTTTTTTTGTTGTGTCTCTGCCAAGTTTTGGTATCAGGGTGATGCTGGCCTCATAAAATGAGTTCAGGAGAAGTCCCTCCCTTTCAATTGTTTGAAATAGTTTCAGAAGGTTGGTACCAGCTCTTCTTTTTATCTCTGTTAGAATTTAGCTATGAATCTTTCTGGTCCTCAGCTTTTTTTGGTTGGTTGGCTATTAATTACTGCCTCAATTTCAGAACTTGTTATTAGTGTGTTCAGGGATTTGACTTCTTACTGGGTTAGCCTTGGAAGTGTGTATGTGTCCAAGAATGTATCCATTTCTTCTAGATTTTCTAGTTTATTTGAGTAGAAGCGTTTACAGTATTCTCTGATGGTAGTTTAAATTTCTGTGGGGTCAGTAGTGATATCCCCTTTATCATTTTTTTATTGTGTCTATTTGATTCTTCTCTCTTTTCTTTCTTACTCTTATGCCTGATAAATATTATTATACAAGGCAAAGAACTTAGGTAATGCAAAAATTTAATCTTGCTATCATATGAAATGCTATGGTCTAAAAGACTGTGTCTCCTTTAAAATTCATTTAATGAAACTTAATCCTCAGTATAGTGATTTTGGAAGGTGGAGTATCTGGGAGTTTAGGTCGTGAGGGAAGAAGCTTCATAAGTGAGATTAGTGCCTTATAAAAGAGGCTTGGAAAACTTGTTTGTCCCTTCTAGCGTATGAGAACATAGCAAGAAGATGCCATCTTTGAAGCAGAGAATTAGGCCTCAGCCCATACTGAATCTGCTGACATCTTGATCGAAGAGATTCCATCCTCCAGAGCTGTAAGCAATAAATTGCTCTTGTTTACAAATTACCCAGTCTAAGTTGTTTTGTTATAGCAACTTGAACAAGTGAAGACATAATATAAAGCCTTTGTATTTTAGATCATAATGAATAGTTTTTCTCAGAGATAAAACTAAATTTTAATAAAATATATTTCACAAATGTAACATATTGTGGACTACTACCTCCTAGCTTTTATAAATTTTATAGCATCTTACAATGGACCAGTGCATGAATCTATAAGAATTATTTATTTTAAAAAATCCTGAGATAGACGTGAAAATGTGATATTGGTATGTATCTATTTCATTACTAAGCTAAATATTACGATCATGAGCATAATGTTGCTATGAAGAAATAGCGAATATTTATGAATATTACACTCAAGTATTTAGCTACCATGAAAAAAAGAAGTTACCAAATATTACAATAAATAAAAGTATCAAGATTTAACACATTTATTTCCTCCTAAAACATCATATTTGGCTATAAAATGTTAATTTTCTGGGAAAAATCATGTTTTTGCTGAAAGAGTTTTACCATATGTCATTTAGGAAGTATTATTATTACCTTCGAGTGATATAACAGCAGATTATTTTATGTTTTAATAATACCAACCTAACATTTATATTTTTAATTTGCAAAATTTTATGGAGATAATTATTTAGAAAACATAACTTTAAATGAGGAAAAGAGAAAAATCATAGAAAATCATTGAACATTTTATAGTTCAATTCAGAATTATTAAAACCTACTTTGGCTTTGTAATATTACAAATTATTATTAAACCACCTCTATATAAAGTAACTACCACAGACATAGCTGTAGTGCTATGTAGTGCTCCTGGACTAGTCTCAGAAAATCCAGGTTTTTTATTAATGAGAGCAAATATACAACAAGTGAATATAGACTCTTATCTACTGCAAAAAGTTTGCAGAACCTCAAAAGGCTTTCTGCCTTTTGGCTTTGACTGGTGTCCTCATACAATCCAAAGTTGCCCAACATCAACTTTTTTTATATGAGATCATGGGAGTAATCCAGTGACCTCATATAAAAAAAATAGTAATGGTCTAATCCAGTGAACTCACATAAAATCTGGAGAAGAAATTCTTCAACAGTAAAGTTTTCAATGATTTTTGGGTCAATGGTTGACATAATTGATAGGAAATGTCATATTGTTAATATCATCTATTTACTTTGTCACCCCTCAAATATTAGTCACTTTATGGTCACAATGGATTAGTGCAGAAGGATAGAAAGTTACAGATTTCTTCAGTTAAAAAGTTTCTTTTTTTTTTGAGCTAATGTCATAATTAACAGTAAGAGACTGGACAATTATTCCATAACAATTTCTCACCACTTTTATTCAGTTTTATGTATACTTGTATCCAGTTTCACTAACAAATGAGGTGGGAAAATAAATATAAGCCATCCACATTGAAAAATAAGAAGAAGCTGTCTTTGTTTGCAGATAACATCATCACACATGCAGAAGATCCTGGAGATTCCATTCGAATATTGTAGAATTATTAGGTGAGTTTAACAGCATATAGAATACAAGCCGATTTTTATAAAAATCCATTATTTTGTAAGTAATATCAATAACCAATCAGAAATTGAATTTATATAAACTGTGCCCATTCCTAAGTCCAGGATGGTATTGCCTAGATTTTCCTCCAGGGTTCTATAGCTCGGGGTTTTACATGTTTAAGTGTTTAATCCATCTTGACTTGATTTTTGTATGTGGTGAAATGAAGGGGTACAGTTTCAATCTTCCGCATATGGCTAGCCAGTTATCTCAGCACTGTTTATTGAAAAGGGAGTCCTTTCCCCATTGCTTGTTTTTTGTTGGCTTTATCAAAGATCAGATAGTTGTAAGTGTGCAGTCTTATTTATGGGTTCTCTATTCTGTTTCATTTGTCTATGTGCCTGTTTTTGTATCAGTACCATGCTGTTTTGGTTACTGTAGCCTTACAATATAGTTTGAAGTCAGGTAACATAATGCCTCCAGCTTTGTTCTTTATGTGTACTGATTGCCTTAGCTATTTGCATTCTTTTTGTTGTTATTACTGTTCTATATGAATTTTAAAATAGCTGTTTTTTTCTATTTCTGTGAAGAATATCATTGGTTGCTTAATAGGAATAGAAATCAATCTGCAAATTGCTTTGGGTAATAGGACCAGTTTAACAATATTGCATCTTCCTGTACATAAGCATGGAAGGCTTTTCCATTTGTGTCATCCCTGATTTATTTGAGCAGTTTTTTATAATTCTCATTGTAGAAATGGTTCACATCCCTGGTTAGCTGTATACTTAGGTATTTTATTCTTTTTGTGGTAAGTGTGAATGGGATTTTGCTCCTGATTGTGCTATAAATTTCTCATTAACACTGCCTTACCTGTGTTCCAGTGATTCTGGTATGCTCTATAATTTTTCTCATTAGTTTCAAAGAACTTCATTTCTCCCTTAATTTCATCATTTACCCAAAAGTCACTCAGAAACAAGTTGTTAAATTCCATATAACAGCATGATTTTGGGTGACAGTTTTAGTCTTGATTTCTATCTTTATTGTGCTGTTGTCCAAGAGTGTGTTTGATATAATTTCAGTCCTTTTGCTTTGCTGAGGATTGTTTTATATCTGATTGTGTTATTGATCTTAGAGTACATTCCATGTGGTGATGACAGTAATGTGTATTCTGTTGTTTACATGTGTATTATGTTTAAGAGTTATAAAGCCGCAATAATATAGTGTTGAATTGATGCTAAAATGGGCAAAATATATTAACAAGGCAGAATAGAGTCTAGAAATAGCCAAATGCTTAAGTGGCCAGTTGATTTTGACAAAGGTGCAAAAGGAATTCAGCTGATAAAAGATAGCATTTTCAATAAATAGTGGAGGTTCACTAAAAACAAGTCAACAAATAAACCTTTTGCTTCATATTTCACACTAGAGATTTCCTTTTAAGGAGCTCTTGACTGCCTTAATCTTTCATGGTTTATAGGAAACATCCAAACATTCTTTGCCTTGATAAACTCTGAGAATACAGGCTGTTTCCAATCCATCCAATCATGTTCTGCTGTCAGGATGTCTTACTTTTTTATACATAAGTTTAGCATTCACTCCTGTGTCCCACAGTGTCAGGGGACATAGGATAAGCTATGCATAGTCACCTTAAAGTCATTTTCATGAGACTAGACTTGAGAAAGGACTACTCTTTTACTTATCCATGGAATTAGATAAACAAAATGCAATTTAATTTTTTTAAGAAAATTTTTCTTCCATTTCCAAATGTTAGTCTCTTCAACTTCACTCTCTGTATATACTATCAAGTTGAGAGTTTTTATTTTCATATTGTTTCTTTTTCAGAAAAGTCATCATGATGACCTGTGATGTTTAAAAAGCATGTTGTTTTTCTCTTTTTTTCTGTGTTTATTGTTTGGTTCTCAGCCTTTTGTGGTCCCATTGAAAACAGTACAAAATGTGTCCTAATTTAACATACTATTTTAAATTTCAGATTCACTTCTTCTGATATTACATCAAAACTGCTCTTCCAGATAAGGAAGTTAAGGTTTTTTGAAGGACTTCATATATTTTCTGGCCATTCTTTCCTTTTGATATGATTACAAGTTTCACTTAAATTTCCAGAAATGATTTTCATATCTCTTGGTTTTGCTTCATTCTTTCTTTTCTCATTACTTGTTCTTTAATTTTAATGCTATCATCATATTATGAAGTAAGTTTCCCCAGTTTCCATTCATTAATCAATATTTTAGGAACTTTTCTAGAAACCAAAGTAGTCAATGAGCAAGCTATCTTTAAAGTTTAATTACCCATATTTTTACCCCACTTAGGTAACCAGAAGATAATATATATCCCCAAAATTATCATGTGTCTAATAGAGTCATCTAATTCCCTTCCAGTCCCCTGAATTGGGGCAAATTAAGCTTCATTCAAAGGTCTTAATGAATTTTCTATGGTCTCTGGAAAGTTTATGGCAGCTGTTAGTTACAAATCTCATTAATATCATTAATAAATCACCAAATCCTTACTGAACACCTACTTAAAGACATAAAATATGATACTCTGGGGAAACAAGAAACAATAAATCCAGTCCTATGAGACTTAAATTCTGGAACATTGTATGTTAAAATGATTATTATTGCTATGGATTAAATATTCACAATGATGACAAAGGAAGTGACTGAAAAAATTACTATTATATAGTTTGGATAATCAAAAATGGACTCTATGAGATGATATATTTTGAGCCAAGATGAGGAAAATAACAAACTGCGAGGCTGGGGAGGAGTTGTTCAGGCAAAGAAAATAGCAAATGCACAGGTTCTGAGCGAGAAAGCCTTCGCACAATTCATGGTAGAAAAACAAAGCTGGTGTCAAGGTCTTTGTAAAAATGAAAATGGCATAGAAAAGATCAGAAGTGTAGGAAAGGATGAAATAAAGGAGGGCATTTAAAATCATAGTTAAGAGGTTGGAGAATTTTAAGCAATGACACAATCATATAATAAGAGCTAAGTATGTGTTTTTTGTTTTGTTTTGTTTTGTTTTGTTTTTGTTTTTTAGACCGAGTCTCGCTCTGTTGCCCAGGCTGGAGAGTAGTGGCTGATCTCGACTCACTGCAAGCTCTGTCTCCCAAGTTCACGCCATTCTCCTGCCTCAGCCTCCTGAGTAGCTGGGACTACAGGCGCCCGCCACCATGCCCGGCTAATTTTTTTTTTTTTTTTTTTTTTTTTTTTTTTTTTTTTTTTTTTTTTTTAGTAGACAAAGGGTTTCACCATGTTAGCCAAGATGGTCTCAATCTCCTCACCTCGTGATCCACCCGCCTTGGCCTCCCAAAGTGCTGGGATTACAGGTGTGAGCCACTGTCCCCAGCCAGAGCTGAGTATGTTTTGAAAAGTCAACTTTTTGTGTGTGTAGTATGGATTGATGTGTGTGGTGTGGATTGGTGATGCAAAATGAAAAATGAAAGCTAGTTACAAAGTGATTACAGTATGTTGCTACACAGTAAAGGTAAACTTAGTAAGGTACAGGCATCTTACTGATAAATAAGTGGATAAATCAGATTTATTGTGAGAGAAAGTTGTTAGAATTCATTGATGAGTTTGAAAATCAAGTTGAGGGAAAGAGAGAAATTAAAGTTTATTCCAAATTTTTTACTAATAAATTGATTGATCATGAGCCCCATTGATAAGAGAAAATCTAATTAGAAGATCAAAATAGAAAAAAAGAAACCTCCAGTGTTATGCCTCAAATACTTGGATTTAGACATGGTTCTTTACTCAACATTTAGAGGATGGATAGAAAAAAAGGAATTAGTCAGTAAATGGGGTATTAAGAATGAGTTTACTCTAAAGTAGGAGGCTGCTAAAGACAGGGTTGTTTCTCCAAATTGAGAGATTTATTTCAACGGTTAATGAAATAAACAGCTACTAAAACTTCAAGTAAATGAAGGAAAAAGGTGCTGTTATCTCTGGCTACAAAAAGGTTGTCAAAGACAATGAAGTAACAGTTTCAATGAAGGAGTGAGGATGACACTAAGATTAAATTGGATCTGAGAATAAATGGGCAGTGAGGAAGTGCAAATATCAATTTTAGACATTTGTTCCAAAAAGGTTTTCTATAGATAATAAAATAAATAAAACAGAGCAATAGATTGAGGAAACAACCGATCACAAAAGGGTTTTGATTTTGTTTGGGTTTGAAATCATGGAAAGTTCATATAGTATGGTTATATCCCGATGAGAATAATTTAGGAGAGAGGGAGATTTTGGTGATGCAAAAGGAAAAGTGTGAATAGCTCTAAGAATAAGTCTCAAAAAGTCAAGAGAGTGTAACATTGCAACTGTGAGTTACGGGTTTTACTTTTGATTGACTAAGAACATTTATCTCAAAGTAACTAGGAATAAGAACAAGAATACAGATAATGATGCAGACAGTTTTGTAAAGCAATTAAGGGAAAAATAGAAAGTTTTTATTTTACCTCTTGTATTTCTCAAAATAAAAGTGAGATAAGGCCATCAATTTAAAGTGATCATGGAAGTGGTAAGGTTGAAAGCAAAATGTGAAGGTAAAAAATTGATTGGTCCAGGGAATTGAATAGTAAATTAGTAGATTACTCAGGCAGTTTCAAATGCCCATCTAAAGCGTGCGGTCATTATCTTAGAGTAAAAACATTCAAAGCGTTCTTCCTCCACCTCCCTCTAAACTTTCTTCGTTAGTTCTTGTGCTCAGGCAAGAAAAAAAAAAGTAGTCTGATTTAACTAGTGTTTGAGTTATATATCAGTATTGCGATTATTCAGCCTATGTGTGCAATTGAGGAGTAGGCTAGATTGAAATGCTGCCAGGTATACAAAAGAGCTAAATTACCTCCAAAGGAGCAAGTATATGAATATACTATGGAGTTAGAGTTAGTAATGGGGCTGTGAGGGCTTGTGGGCAGGCCATGGGTATTGGGGGCAATTGCAGAATCAATGAATAGGAACTCTTAACTTCAGTTGAAGAAGTTTTGGAATGCAGGGTTCTGAATAAGAAGAAAAAATAGAAGATAGTTGTGAGAAAATGAGCTAATTGGTATTGAAATTCTGTAGGTTAAAAAAAAAATTATGGTGTGACCACCTAGATAGGCTATGGAAAGAAGAAAACTATTTTTGAGCTTTTTGGAGGAACTACCTCTGTGGGTATTGAAATCCCAGAGAGTAATGCCAGAAGTGTATGTAGGAAAATAGCAAGTTTGGGTTGATAAAGTCAGAAAAGAACTATTTGTTATAAGTCTAAATTATCCTAATAGATGAGAAACAAAAAGAGTAAGATAGAAGTCATTAATGGGGAGTAATGTCTAACAACAGTAGATACTTTCAGGGTATGGTTATTCTTAGTCAGTAGTACTCTGCCCTTATATCTTTATTTTATATCTAGGCCCTTGTATTTTTTCTCCTGTTACAACTGAATAGTTTTGCTTTATTTCTAGTATCTAGTCCCTGCCTTCTTCTGTACTATTACCTCGAATTTGGCAGAGCAGCTAGTTTCTAGGTAAGGTGTGTGTGTTACTTATTGATGCAACACATAATTATTTTATACTTACTATGTGCTAGCTATATAACACTATGTTTGGGTTACTATGTGATTTGGACACTTAGCAAAAATTATTGGTCCTCCAGTTTTCAAATGTGTTTATCCTTGCTATCAATTGACCTTTTCTAAAATGAGTTGTTTTATTATGATTTCTTCAAACATATTCTCATAGCAGAATCTTATGAATACATAAGAAATTTAGCAATATTAGGTGACAAAATAACCAGCAAAACACCTTGTATGTATTTAGTATTATAAATGATGAAGATCTTAAGAACTATATACAACACTCTAGGTCTCACTTTAAACATTGAAAATGGAGTCTATTGGTGACTTACTCACTTTATATTTACATCTACCACATTTGTAATTGTAAATAATGAGGTAAGTGCAACCATTGATTTCTTGGATTTCCATCAATTTCACAGTTATCATTTAATGTCTTTCTAAATACCTCATTTTGTGGTCTTAGGAAACCTGCATTAAAAAAAATCACAACATCTGTTTGAAAGTTTATGTGAAATCCACAATGTACAGAACCACATGCCTTTAATGTTTCCAGAATAAAAAAGCTTTGATGTTTGCACTTTGTGGTGCAATTTTACAGAAAAAAAAAAAATTTAAAATGGGATGGAGGCTAACAAATACTTTGAGTAAAATGTTGTCTTTGTTTTGTGCAAAATGCATAAAAACATGCCCTTTAACCTATTAAATATTTTTGAAAGATAGAGGTGCTTTTTTACTGTAACTAAAACAATTATCATTTAATTTCTTAAAATCCGGTATTTTTCCCCATATTTGGTGTAAGTTATTTACCAAATAGTGTGTGAACTGTGATTTTTTTTCACTTTTCTTCCAAATCACTCTTGTAAAAAAGAGGAATCGATTTTTGCTAATAAATTTAGTAAGAATTTAACATTTTGTCTGCCATTTAAACTGTCTTAATATTTGAATACTTTATACCTTTTAAATATGTTAAGTGCCATAATAATAACGTGTATTAATGTTCATTCAGACATATAAAGTCCGAGAATGTGGGGTTATAATTCTGTGGAAGGAATAGTTTGCCAAGTTGTGATAACCTAGTGAGAGACCTTAAAAATATAAATAAATGAATAAAAACACAAAGCAAAAAAGAAAATAGACCAGGAAACTATTGAAATATCATGCAAGAGTAAAATGTATAAGGTTAATTTTAGTGACTTTTGAGGAAAAGTGTTCATAATATCTTACTAAGAGAAAAAAGTAAGGTAGAAAAATAGCAGATCATATTTCAGAATTGATAAATGAGTTGTAATACATTCATACAAATAATATTATACTCTAACAAGACTAAAACAAATATTGTTACAGTCAGCCCTAGATTAGCCTAAAAATAAATACAGCAGACGGGGGTAACAGCAGATTAGACATTGGAAAAAAATGATTAGTAACCTTAATAGAAAAAAATGAAAATAACATCAGCGAACTGTAGGATAATGTCCAGCATCCCAATAAGCTGAAAATATTTCACAATAAAACCCACAGATTCAAAGAGGTCGATGAATGCCAGCACAAAAGATAAAGAAAACTACATGAAGGCGCTATATAATCAAGTTGTTCAGAACCAGTTACAAAAATAGAATCCTAAAATCAGCTACAGAAATGCAAGATTATATAGAGAGCAATAAACATAAGAATGACAGTAGGTTTCTCTTCAGAAACAACACAACTAAAAGGAGAATAAGACATCTTTAAATTAATAAAAGAAAAAAAAAAACCCGGCCGACAAAGATTTCATCATTCAGTAAAATTATCTTTAAAAGTTAAGCAAATCAGAGGCTTTTTCAGACATACTAAATGTAAACAAAATTCAATAGCTCTTGATGTACATTTAAAAATAAAATAAAAGTTCTTTAGGCACAAGGAAATGGTAGCCCATGAAAATATGGATGTACATAAATAAAGAACCAAAGTGATAAACAAATTTCTTTCTCAATCTCTTTAAAAGATATTTCACTATTTACATAAAAATAAGTGTGGAGTTTATAATATGTAAAATTAAAATGTGTGAAAATTATAAAGTACAAAGGAAAAAGTTAAAATAAGCTTTTACTGCTATAAGTAAAGTCAAATACTATATTTTAAAAATAGATTGTAAAAAGACAGAGCTATGAATACAATGCAACCACTAGCATAATGAAACTAAGTTTTAGCTACTAAGCCAACAAATGAAGTAAGTCAAATAATAAAAGTATTCAATTTAGCCAAGAGAAAACAGAAAAGAAAAAGAGAAACCAAGAACAGATTGAACAGAAAACAACAAGAAAATAGATTTAGCTTCTGCCTCATCAAGAAACATTAAACATAAATGATTTGAATAATGCAATTAAAATAATTAAAATACAGATTAACAGGCTGAATAAAAATACAAGGGCCAACTATAGAATGTCTACCATAAATGGATTTTAAACATGAAGTCACAAGGAAGCTAAAAGTAATGGGAAAGAAAAAGAGGCACACACTATTCCTAATATTAAAATGTTACAGATATCTGCACTCATGTTTATTGCAGCATTATTCAAAATAACCAAGATATAGAATAAATGTAAATATCTATCAATGAATGAATAGATAAAGAAAATGTGAAATATATGTCTATGTACAATACAATTCAGCCTTATAAAAGAATAAAATTTTATAATTTGTAACCACATGAATGAGCCTGGGAGACATTGTGCTAAGAGAAATAAGACAGGTGCAAAACGGCAAATATTGGAAGACCCTATTTATACATAAACTTAAAAAAATTGAACTCATAGAAATAGAGACTATAATGACAGTTACCAGAAGCTAGTGATAGGGGAAATGGGGAGATACTGGTTAAAAGGTCCAAAGTTATAGGGAGAAAACAGGAATAAATTTTTGAGATCTATTGCACAGCTTGACAACTGTAGTTAATAATAATGTATATTTCAAAATTCCTAAGAGATTACATTTTAAATGTTCTTACCACAAAAAAATAAGTATTTGAAGTGATGGATATGTTCATTAGCCTGATTTAATCATTCCACAATATATACATATATTAACACATCACACTGTACACAATCAATATACACACAGTTATCATTAGTCAGTTAAAAGGCATTTGCTCATATGTGCATCACGGTGCTATTCACTATAGCAAAGATGTGGTACATATACACCATGTACTTGTTATTGCATCTCAGCACTATTCACCATAGCAAAGACATGGTACACATACACCATGTACTTTTTATTGCTGCGTAGTATTCCATGGTGAATATGGTACATAATCACAAATATGGTACATATTCACCATGGAATACTACGCAGCAATAAAAGGAACAAAACCATGTCTTTTTTAGCAACATGGAGGTAGCTAGAGATCATTATCCTAAGTCTACTAATGTGGAAGCAGAAAGCCAAATACTGCATGTTCTCTCTTATAAGTGGAAGATAAACTTTGACTACACGTGGACACAAAAATGGGAACAATAGACACTGGGAACTGCTTGATGTGGGAGGGTGGGAGTGGAGGTAGATTGAAAGGCTACTTATTGGCTACTGTGCTCATTACCTGTGTGATGGGATAATTTGTACACCAAGCCTCAGCAAAATGCAATTTAATTATGTAACAAACCTGCACATGACCCCCAGAATCTTAAATAAAAGTAGAAAGAAACAAAATGTAAAATATTAGAGTAGCTATTTTAATACCAGATAAAGTACACTTCAGATTTTTAAAATGCCATCATAAAGAAAAAGGTTCATTTCACAATGATGGATCAATTATTTAGATAATACAATGATCTTAAAGGCTCACACATCAAATAACAGGGCTTAAAACTTCATGAAGCAAAAACTGATATTAACTTTGAGGTAAATAGACAAATCCACAGTTATAGTCAGAGATTTCACTATGCTTCTTTCAATAATTAACAGAACTGGTAGACAGGAAATCAGTGAAGAGATATAAAACTTAAATAACATTTCCAAAACAACTTGAAGAAACTGACATTTATAGAACACACGAAACAACAATAACAGAATGAATATTGATTACAAGTACATGAGAAATATTTCCCAAAGTAGATCATATCTAGGCCAGCAGCCACAAGCCAAATCCTGCCCATGGCTGATTCTAGAAAACCACAAGATAAGCAAGTTTTTTTATATTTTAAACGGTTAAAAAAGTAGAATATGTAACAGAAACTGTACATACATGATTTGAAAAGCATACAATATTTGCTATCTAGACCTTTACAGAACATTTTTTGCTGACCGTTTTTATAAATCATAAAACAAATGTCTATATATATAATAGATTCACATTATACGAAGTGTTTTCTCTGATTGCAATTTAATTACATTAGAATTGAGTAACAGAAAGATGTCTGAGCAATCTTTAAATAACGCACTTTGAAATAACTTACAGATTAAAGATTAAGTCAAGAGAAATATTAGAAAGATTTTGAACTAAATAAATATTTAAATACAGAATATCAAATTTTGTGGGATGGTGCCTAAGCAGTAATTGGGAAATGGGGCTCATGGCATGAAAGAGTCATATTTGAAAAAAAATCTCAATTTTGTGACTTCAGTTTTAATCTTAAGAATGTAGAGAAAGAATCAATTAAATATTAATAAAATAGAGGAAAATAACTAGAAATTGATTAAATAAAAAAAAACAGAGAAATGATAGAGAAAGCCAATGTCAGTAAAAACAAATTTTGAAAAAGACCAATAACATTAATAAACCCTTCTGCAGACCGATCAAAAATAAAAACAGAGAAGGTAAACAAGTATAGATAAGTAAAATTGCCACTGAATTTATTTATTTAAAAAGATTATAAGAATATTATGAACTATTTCATGCCAATAAATTCAACAATTTCGATGAAATGGACAAATTCCTTTAAAATACAAATAATTAACACTCATTCCAGAAGAAATAGATAACTAACTCTATTAATCAAATTTGGAGTTTAAAATCCTTTTACACTAAAGCTTCACTAGTGAATTCTCCAGAACATTTAAGGAAGAAATAATATTATTTTTATACAAACTCCTGGAGGAAATTAAAAAGGATGCCTTTCCAACTTATTTTGTCAACATTATACCCTGATACTAAAACTACTAGAAAAGATAAATATAGGTCAATATCTGCCATGAACACAGATGCAAAAGTTCTAATTAAAATTTTTAGCAAATTGAATCCAAAATATATGAATTGGATAATACATCATACTAATGGAGCTTATTATTGAAATATATATGGGTGTGTTTTGTGTGTGCATTTTCTTAAGTAAACGTGAGTCTGCAAAGCTAAAATACAGATCTCTGAGAATATAAATGAGAAAGAAGGGGAAGACTAGAGGGAAAACAAACTAAACTTATCTGGGCATATCTTATCTCATAAATTTTGTAACTATAGAGCTGTTTTATATAAAAAATAAATTACACAAAAATGAAAATATTAAATCTTTTTCAAATTTATTTCGAAAGAAGAAAAAAAGGAAGTTAACTATGTTTGTTTTCTATTGCTGCCATAAAATAATTACCAAATTTTAGTAGCTTAAAACAGCATGAATTTATCTTATAGTTATATACATCAGAAGTTCAGTATCAATCTCACTAGACAAAAACCACGTTGTCCAAGGGACAAATCATTTTCCTTTTTCATGTAGGTTTATGGTAAAATTCAGTTTCTTGCAGCTCTATTCTTGCTGGCTGTAAACTGAAGCTAGTTCCCAGGTTCTAGAAGACGTTGCCTACCTTGGCTTATGGCCAACTACCTCTATCTTTAAGCTAACAAATGTGAGTCAAGTCCTTGTCTTGTCACATCCCTCTAACCTTCTGTCTCATCACTCTGAGTCAGATGAAAAGGTGTTACACTTTTACAATGCATTCGATTAGACTGGGTCCATCTAGATGATCCAGAATACTCTCAGCATCTCAAGTTCTATACCACTTGTCACATTTGCAAAGTCTCTTTTGCCGTTTGAGATAATGTGTTCACAGTTTCCAGGGAATAGAACATGAACATTTTGGTGGGAGGGGGAAGTCATTATGCCGTCTACCTTAACAGCTTTTAACATAAACTTACATATAATTATACACACACACAAAATATTTCAAGTAAATTTCTATTAGAATAACACAAAGCATAATTATATTGTGATTGATAATATAAAAAAATTATCAGCATAATGGAAAAAATCACAAATTTTAAACAACATAGCTTAAATACCAGTGCTAAATTTGTTTTGGGAATGTAAGTTTGAGTCTATAACATATTTTCACTTAAAAAAAAAACTCTAGTAATTCCTAGTTCAGATCAGTAAAAAGACCTAGAATTGATGATCAAAACCTTTATAATGAGTACTTATAATATCAGATTGCATTTTGTAACTAAAAGGAAAAAGTCTCTTTCAGGATGTTGCAGTGGGAGAGGGGCAGCGATTGATCCCAAATTTGGAACAGAAGATTTATACTGTATAATTTAGCTTGTAATAAATTGCCATGCAGAAAGACTACTGGGATTATGTCATAATGACGTAAATTCCAATCTGAAAGATCTCTTATAAGCCAAAGATAAGATACTTAAGCCTCAATGAAATAATAACTTCAATGATTTGAAATATAGCAAACATTTCAAAATTAATTAATTATCTTTGAAATATGCTAAGAAAGCTGGGGAAAGGTAGTATTTTCCGTCTCATGGGGCTGAAGACAAATAAATTCAGAAATCAGAACTCCCAAGGTAGCATCTTATTTGAGGAACTTATCTTATTATTTTGAAAAGTATTAAATAAAAATGATTTTTTAATACCTCAAGCACCTATCTACACAAACAGTACCTCAAGAAAACCAAATAATTGATGAGGAAAAATTTAAGTTTCTTTAAATAAGTATTCCAACTACAATTCAAGTATAAATGATTCTTAATGTCATCACTTTGCCACTAGAATAATGAATCTAGGCAATGATTAGCAAAGCCCATTAATATCACAAAAGGGAGATATGTAGAAGTTACATATCTTCCATATATGCCACCTTGTGGAAATACATGACTCTACCAATGAAATATTCTAGCCAAAACTCAAACATGACAAATATCAGCATTCTAGTGGTTTCTCAAATGTCCAATACACAGATGAAAAATGTATCAATCCTAATAGACATAGCAAAATGTAAAAGTGGAAACTGACCAATATCAAGTTGCTCTTGGTTTCCCAAATGGCCAATAAATAGATGAAAAATGTATCAGTCCTAATAGTCACAACAAAACTTAAACAAAACCAAAATGATATAGCGCTACAGATACACAAGTTTGGGTGATAGTAAAGGGCTGATAACATGTTTTGGCAAAAATGTGAATTAATTGGAATTATCATTATACTACTAGTAGGAATGAGTGTTTGGACATATCCAAAAAAGTTGAAAATGCAAGCATTCTGTGACCCAGTACTTTCACTTTTAGGAATACAGCCAAGATAAATGTAACAATACTTGGAATAATTTTTTTTCTTAATGGGAATATTTATAATGCCCAAATCTTGGAAACAACTAAAAGGTATATAAATATCAGAATTATAGATAGTAATAATAAATAAGTAGATAAATGGTGACATATTTTTTTCAGTGAATACTATTTAGCAAAGAGAGTGGATGAACCACTACTTTACTGAAAAACATGAATAAATCTCATGAGCTTAGTTTTGAATGAAATAAGTCAGATGCAAAATAATATAAATTGTCTGATACCATGAACATAAATTTAAAATTAAAATACAGGGTTACACATTTATGGCATTAGAAATCAGGAGAGGGTTGAGAAGAGCTGCCACTAATAGAAGAATAAGGATGCTTCTAGAGATGTGGTAATGCTGTGTGGTTTTTTTTTTATCAGATTAGATATTTGATGGATTATTAAATTTATAAAAAGTAATCAATCTGTACTTTTTATATATCATTATATTAATAATTACACTTTGTAAAAATACAATTAGGTACATTTAAAATTTTCAATTAAAAGTTATTTTAAAACTTGTAAATGTTAAAATATCATGTAAGAAGTTATATTAGCCACAATTCAAAAAATAACCTTACAAAGTGTATGGCCAGTATTCATAAGTACTATAAATAATTACTTTGTTTAAAATGATAGAGTGGATAAAAATGTCATACAGATATACCATGGAATAGTTTGCAGATATTTAAAAAAAGCATGAGATCATATCTTTTACAGGAATATGGATGGCGCTGGAGGTCATTATCCTTAGCAAACTAATTAAGGAACAAAAAACTAAATACCTCATGTTCTCACTTATAAGTGGGAGCTAAATGATGAGAACAGAGACACGAAGAGGGGAGCAACACACTCTGGGGCCTATTGGAGGGTGGAGTGTGGGAGGAGGGAAAGGATCAGGAAAAATAACTAATGGGTACTAAGTTTAATACCTGGGTGATGAAATAATCTGTACAACAAACCCTTGTGACACAAGTTTACTTATGTAACAAACCTGCACATATACCCCTGAACTTAAAATAAAAGTTAAGAAAAAGAGATCACTTTATTAAGGAATTGATAATACATTTTTTTTCAAAAGTACCTGTAGATTTCAGGGAAATCAATGTTTCCAAATAACTTATTTTTCAACTGTCTACAATTCTACCTCCAGGTGTTAAAAGAGACTAAAGACTTGGGACACTAAGAATGCAGTAAATGTTTGAAACAAATTAATTACTTGAGACATGCCCTTTAATTTATATTAACTCTTTTTACACAGTATGCTTCTATATATTCTTATACATTAACTGAAAAATATCAGCATTTTAAAGAGTAAAACTTTTACGAGGTTTCCAATTTAACATTAATGAAAGCACAATGGTATCACTGGTCATGCATTGAAATAAAGTAGAAAGATATCGGTAACCTTTCAATGACAGCTTCATGGAAGAATATGAAGACAGCTGTGGGTTATTTTCCCACATAAAAATGCTTCCTCATTTAATTTGAATTCATAAAGAATTAGCAGCAAAATTTCAATAAAACATTTCTTGTCAAGCTATTAGGGGCAACATATTTTAACAATTTTTATAACTTTTTATTACATTTTGCCATCAAGTTCTGGAGGCTTTCATCAACTTTTTGTAAAGTAACATAAAATTATTTATGTAAAGATTAACACATTTATAATCATTCTACCAAATTGTTTTACAAGTTAAGCAAGGCTATAAAACTTGCTCCAGAAGACAGAGGATCATCAGAAGACAGTAAAGTGACATTTAATAACTACATTTTCTAGTCATCAACTTCTTATTTGATAGTCTGTGGCATGCTTTTAAATTTCTGATGATTTTGAATACCACATGAAAGTTGAAGGGGAAAAAACACTACTGTTTCAGATAAGTGCACGGTTTTTCATTTTGAATAATTCTATGAAATATATCAGACAATAGCAGCACCATTTAAAAGTTAAAATTTATATATATATATATATATATATATATATGGTAATTCAAGCATTTGTTTTCTAGTCAATTAAATCTGGATCCTATATACTTTCTTTTGCTATTTTTTTCCTTAAAGTTGTCTTGGTTTTCCATGTTATCTGAAATTTTAAAAGGTAAGCATGCATGCTTATTACAGGGATAAATACTCTTGTTAGAATGTGGTAAAACTGTGGGATTTATTATAAATAGTCAATCTAAGAGAAGGATGAAGGGGCTCTTAGGCATGTGGTAATGCTATCAGATGAGCCTTAAAAGTATGATACATTAAAATTAATACAAATGGAATGATCTTTTATTTAACAGTTTATAGTGGACCAGTAAAGTCAGTGGTAAAGCTCTGCTTATTATTTGCAACCCTGGTGCCTAGGATTGTCCCGCCTACTCCAGAAAGAAGAAAGGGTTTCAAGAACATGCAGAGAAACTCCAAAAGCATCAAGTACCAGACTGAAATTAGTGGTTATTACTTCAGATCACATTGTATTCATAAAAATGTAGTCATATTTGACTACAAGGGAGACTGATTTAGATAACACAAAATAGTGAAAACATTGTTGATTAGGAAGAAAGGAGAAAATATAAAGTTCCACATTTAGAAGCAAAAAATATTACATAGTCATAGTATGATCTTGAATTATACATACCTCCTGTGAAAAAGACCTGAAAGTTTTGGTGGACTGCAAGTATACTGTAAATTTTTTATGTTATTAATACAAACAAAAGCCTCAGGTCAAGGAAGTTAACAATCCCATTTTTCTCTCCACTGGCTTGTCCACATATGGAATGGGGAATTCAGTTAAAAGGACACATTTAGTGTTGGATTGACCTAGAGGTTGAGAACTACGTAAATGATGACAAACAAGGAATGACTACAGGAAAAGAAGATATTTCAGTCAAGGTTAGACATTCAAACACCTTCAGAGGCTAGAGAAGTAAATCTACTTTCTTTAGGTAGACCACTTGCGTAAGATAAATATGTGAAGTAACTAAATTTAAAATTTATGTGCTCATCTCATTAAAAAGGTTTTTTTCGGTCAATAAGAAAGATTGAACAATTAGAATGTTCTACCTCAAAAACAAAACAAAACAGAGTTTTGTCCACAAGTGGAAATATGCATATGTAGTTGAAATGATAAACTCTGATGCAGGTTTCAGTACTGGATAAAAGCTTTGGTTAAATTTTATATAATTTATCTTTGACTTATAAAATGTTGTTATTTGATTTTTCAAGAAGCAACTTTTATACAACTCTTCTTTTTAGGTAAAATGTTGACTTTTTAAAAAAGTTTAAGATTAGAGTTGTATTCAAAAGGAATACAATTTTGAAAAACAAATAAATTTTATCTTCTGGTATGAATTTGCATTATAGTTTTCATATCAGATAGATTTAAAAAATGGATGTCGTTAAACTCTTCAAGTTGTTCTAAGCTTGCAGATAAAATGTCGACACATATGTATACTCATTTTCTCTCAACATTACGGACTATAGAAACATAATTTATTCTGGCTGTGTTTAAAGTGAGAAGTACGAAACTGCTCTTCTAAATTTTGATTTTTAGGTTTCAGTTGCTATTTTGCCTGTGGTGAAGACAATTGCTAAGGCTTTATCCCAAGTGATTCAAATTGTATGCTAGTGATAATTGTGCCTAAGTGCTCTTAATTTGATTTACGTGGAATCTTTCGATGTATTCCTTCTAACCAAAATGTAATTGTAATTTAGTGTTATTGAATTGAAATTTAGGCTCACATCCCTAAGGATGTTATGGTCATATTCATCTCTCCATTTTGAAGCACTGATTTTAATTTATGTGTAAGGGTTATTTCCCTAATGGAGATGTAGACTTTACTGAATTTGCCAACAGAAACAATTGTATGAGAGAAAAATAGCACAATATATAACTGGATAGATTTTTCAACATTCGACACCCATTTCCTATTTATTCTCAAAGTTTATAATAATTTTTAGTATAGGATAAACCAGTAAGCTCTCATTAAGTGTAAGACATCCATACAAGGCGCTTACTTGTATTTTCTCAGTTACACTTTAAAAAACTCATGAATACACTATTCTTCTATTTTATAACTTTATTTAACTAAGCCTTTTTCCCTAAACCATTGATTATACATCCAGATTTTTTAATTTATTCTGGTGGCAAAGCCAATTAGAAGTTCTAGTTTTTAAAGCATATAACCATATTTGCCATAAGAGCTTCTCAACTTTTTGTCCGTGGAGCAGTAGATGTAGAAGGGCAGAGAGAGCACATTTACCACTGTTAAACTGCTGCTACTTCTGCCTGCTGCATGCTGGGGTGCTATCCTCCCTTAGAGTGCCATATGGCCAAGGAAGAAACATTAGAGCACGTTACAGATTCATTATAAAATAAATATCTTTTTGCTACCATACTGCCCTAGATATTCTAGGCACACATACGTAAACATGCTGCCAACAGATTGTCATTCATTATAGAGCAGTTTTATGCCTTTTTAAGAAGGTGAATGTATTTTGGACTGCAGAGGTGAGCAGAGGGCAGGACAAGATGAAGATGTAGAGATTTAAGGGTCTGAATAATGCCCACAATTGCAACTGTAAGCACATCATTTTACACATTTGTCAAAATAAGAGAGTTCAGCCAAAAATTTCCATTTTTTCTGTAAAATAAAAAGGTGGGGGAATTCTAGGAAAGCATTTCTCTCAGAATTGTATTTGGTAAATCCTGCTGCCTACTAAGAAAAGATTTACAGGTGATCTTTAAAAGGGAATTTGTAGTGCCACACATTAACAGAAGGTGGAGAGTAAAACATAGTCTTAACTTCTTTCCTTTATGGCAAGAAGTGTTGGAACTCTTTTACACCATTTTAAATTTTCTTAATTTAATCTCCCTGTTAATTTAAAAGAACATAAAACCGAAGATTTTTATAATCATACTTTATTTTTCCCTCTGCGGACTTCTATTTTAATTAATGCCATGATAATTTTATTCATGCAAAACTAGGCTCACCTAACAGCACCTCAATGATCCCACCAATCACTGTGTCACTCGCTAAAATAGGGATACCTTATCTTCTCTTATTTTACTTGTGCTCCTTTTTACATGTATAATGAATATAAAATAAAGTTCTTTTCAAGGAAAGTAACAAAATGCAGGTTTTCAGTATTGTTCTGCTTTTAGGAACCTTGTGAATGATCTACACATTCTGCCTAGTGTTAATGGTTGCATTTTGGGAGGGGACTGGTGGCGGAAGGGCAAGTCATATGTCCCTTAATTGCTTCTCCCCATTGCAATTGGGACAGCAGCTCTATGTGATTTATAGAGCTACTCCAAGGAGACATTTTTTGCTTATGAAAGTGTGGCTCCTGTGGAACCCTGGCCATTTGTAAAAAGTATGGTGAGTACTTTTAGCCATCCTCTGAGGACAAAAACATATCTGGAATTCATTTCTTATCACGGGATTGCTTTAAGATCACATGTACATGAGAAGTGATGCTATACAATCCCTTATTTCCAGTGTTCCTTGAAAAACAACTTGCAAGGGTGATCATACTCCTCTTCAATCTAGGAGATGTCTAGTTCTTTAATAATTAGCATGTACCTATTAACGTTATAATAATATTTATAATCCTTATAGATACCATACTGTGTATTGAGACATAGCCGAAAATTGTAGACTTATTTTCTTATGGATTCCTTACACTTAAGGTGGGAATAATAGGAATAGGGAAATAGAATGCAGAGCTTTTTGAGTCTCAGATATTGTCTTACAGAGTCCCTAGATAACAGGCAATCTATCCTGCTAACAAATCCAAGACCACCCTATTACCTGCCTTAACAGTGACCTTACTAGAATAGATTATTCTCAAGCTGTATATGTGGCTACCTTATTTCTCATAAGAAATAATTTCTCATATTTTGGAATTCTCTCCACAATACTTTACATAGACCCTATTTAATCTATTGCTAAAACATAGTGAAATGATTTAGTATAGGTTACAGATAAAACTCTTTAATTATGGTTATTCATTTACATATTTGAACCATTCCTGCAATTTACACATGGATAAATGGACTCATCTGCGGAAGTAATCAGGTCATAAAATTATTTAAGAAAAAAATTGAAAATGAACATCAATTTGTGATGATAACCCTGCATTTTTTTCTTTTTCATGGTTTGTCTTTTTGAACATTTTTAAATATTTTACCATTGTTAATATATTTAGAATTGTTCACATCTACGTAATATGGCACATTTTTTATGTGCTCTTAGAAATTTAAAGTCTTGTGGAACACTCATCTTGTGGAATTTAATTAGTTTCAAAATAAATCTAATGTACAGTAACAGACTACAATATAAGGTGAATGTAGACAACATATTAAGTGACAATATACACACAATTACATACAATATGATATACATTTTATAAATTAAAAATAATGTTAATGCATATATTCTTTAGGACATAAAAGAATATAAACCATAAGGTATGGTAATCATGAAGACTGAATTCAGGATGTTGGTTGTCTTAAAGGAAGAGGCAAGGATTTGAGATGAGGACACCACAGAGGGAGATTTTTGAGGTTTTTATTTCTGGTTTTGTGGGTAGATTCCTATGTTCTTATTAAAATACAAATATATAATTATAGACATATTCATACTTAAATAAAATAAATAAAAAGTGGGTTTTATGGAGATTAATGATCAGAGTGTGTTGTGAGGCAAAAATTATGGTGAATCTAATTGCTTGTATCTTAACAGAAAAATAAATATGAGATAATGAGATTAAATTCCAGCTCAGCAATTTTCTAGTTGGGATTTCTTGAGCAAGTTACTTAATACTTCTGGCCCTAATTTACTTTATGCATACGTATGTGTGTTGAGCAATAACACTTTTGTCTCCAGGGAGTGTTGAGAATTAAATGATGCACTTATTCTGCTTCCTGGTTAGAGTAACAAAGGTTATTTTATTTTTGTTTTTAAGGAATCAAAGTTACTCAATTTTGCACTAAAATTACTGAAAAGACATTTATGGATAAAATTTCACAAATGTTAAGAATTTATTCACAGTTGTATTTGCTATATTTCTATGAGTTGTTATTACACTAGGTTCTTTATGATACAGGATTTTTCTTGTTCACTTTGCCAGCAAGGGAACTCCAGTCAGCAACACTTCAGCCCAGGCCTCGCTCAGGCATGCTACCTGCTGCAGAAGGTGGCCCACCCACTTGGCCTGCCCAGGCCACACCTGGCTTCTGCACCAGCTCATCTTGCAGCCAGGCCGCGCGTGCCCCAGCCACCTGTGTTATAGCTCGTACCCACTTTCAGTGGTATCTGCATCAAAGAAGAACGAGAATACATTGACAATTGAAGGGTGAGGAGGGTGGATAATTTTATTGAGCGATGGAACAGCTCTTGGTGGATAGGAAATGCAGGGATAGTTTATCTCCCATTGTGACTGAGTCTGGGGCTTTTATGGACTCAGAATAGGGGATTGCATGCTGATTGGTTTGAGTATGCAAAAAAGGTTAAAACAAAGGCAACACCCAAAGGTGGGCACAACAGTGTAAAAACCAATTAGGGAAAGTACATATATGTAAAATAGGTGAAGGGTGGGAATCAATCAGAGGAAAGCATGCCAAACAGGAAGACAAGTTCTCAATCTGGTCTGTGGATTTGGCTTGTAGCTTGGCTTTCAGGTTTTAAACTTTGTCTTGGAGGTGGGGTTTCACCAAGGACCCACCCCTCTCTGCCTAGGCATTTGTCTGCTTCCTACTGCTATTACTTGCAAAAATATATAATATTACAAGCAAATTTATAAAAATAATTTATCACATAAAATGAATATGTGAAAAGTAATTACTAGGCGCTAAGAAGTTAAAACCTGACACTAGGTGCTAAGAAGTTAAAATAAATTATCATTCTTTGGTGAACCTTAGCCCTTTTAGATACCTTATGTTTTTGCTACCCTGTTACTAATTAGCTCACTTACATTGAATCCAAATAAGCTTATATTTCCTGAGCAGATTTCCACATTCTGGAAATATCTTTTTCCATCTCAATTGAAATATCCTGTTTCTGCATAAATTTCTATACATACTTAGGTTTCTTGGAAGAAAAAGTGATAAAATAATTCATGCCAAAGCACATAAGGTGTTGGTAACTTGTGTTTTACTTCCATAGGTAAAACATTTATATTTCAACCAAAGACTTATGATATTACAGTCATAGTATGGGAGCAAGAGTATTGTCATATTACAGAAAATGAGTGTTTAAATATTTTGACTTGAGATACACTTCAAATTATCTCCAATAACAAAGCATTGGTTTTATAATGTGAGGGGAAAGGTATTTTTGTTTCATTTATTTCTATAGAACCATTCAGGCTTCACTTAACATCTTTAATAATATCTTGGGAAATACATTCTTTGAAAACTAGCTATAATTTATGTAGCCAGTCAATAAGAAATCAAGATTTAATATTGTGTTTCCTAAATTTCAGAGTCAGATTGATACTATAAGAAGCCTATAAAAATACTTCTGCACATTGATTAGAATATATAGATCAATACTGTGGGTTCAATACAACAGAAAACGGGTCTGAAGCAGTGGCGAGTATTCATATACAGCTCTTATTCTCAAATTGTCTCTAGCCTATCTTATCCAAAAGAGCTCGTGTTTGGATTACAAATTCTATACCTCTTCTATTTTCTAGTATTTGACTCCCTGGCTGTATATATACATATATATATGTTTGTGTGTATGTGTGTGTGTGTATATGTGTGTGTGTATATATATATAATAGAATGTATTACCCATCTGATTCAAGCTTTTTTTCTAAGTGTTTTTCAAGGAGTATCACACTGAATTTTTTAAAAATCTATGAAATTGTTGCTGTTATTTTCACTCCATGTCACAGGTGAAGTAAATACGGCAGATATTTTAAATCATCTGCCCAAGGTCACACAGTAAGTCAATACCTGGGCTTGGAACCCAACTGCTAACTCCAGTCCATTGATTTAAACCATTATGTTTTCTACTTACACACTATTGTGGTGCATGGGGAATGATAAATGAGAATTTCTGATAACCAGAGCTCTAAATTTGAATGGCTAGAGATGACACTCCAGTTGGCCTGCAAGATATGGCTCTATTGAGAAGGTTTCATTTGAAGCCCAAATAGAACATAGATATGTTGCCAGAGTAGTGACAATATGTTAAAATTATCCACAAGAGAGTAGTACTGAATGACCAGCTACCATTTTTTCATTTATTTATTCATTTAACAAAGCTTTGTTGAACATTTACTATGTGCAAGGGCTTTTTAAAATTTAATATGTACTACTAGGTACAAAATTATTATAGGATCACTGTTCCAGATCATATATACAGGTGAAGAAAGCAGTATGAATCATAAATTAAACAAAATTTACACATACAAAAAGTGGCAGAGGCTATCCAATTCAAAATAGATACCATGACTTATAAGAATACAAGCGGGATCATGAGAAAGACATTATTAGTAAGGCATGTCTAGTATTCAACCATCATCTACTTTTCTTCTTCCTGGTCGCAGAAAGAACAATGTTCTCAGTGCTCTTGTAGTTAAAATAATTAGATTAATTCTATTTTATGGACTATATTCAGAAGTGATACATGCAACATCTGAGACAAAAATAGAATAGCTGTGAATTCTCCACAGTCCTTTTTCTCCAGCCATGGGAACAAAGACTCAGGGTGACATGGCAGCACCTACAGTACCAAAGGAGGTTGGATAGCAGTTAGAGGGCAGCCATACAAGAGAGTTACTCAAACTTATCATGAACACTGAATGAGAGTAAACTTGCTATATTAAATCACTGAGATTTTGAAGTTGATATTTACTGCAGCATACTATAACTTAACCAGACTAATGCAATGATTAGCCTTGTCTTTTGGAAAATTATGCCTGAAAGGAAGATGTTGTAAAATTTACTGCAGGTCATGTATAATGAGCTAAGGAACTTGGTCTTCATTTTCTAATAATGATTTGCATATATTTGACTAAATTTTTTGGGCCAAGCAGTCATCTCTAAAATCAACAAATTTTATTAGTTATGATATTTTTCACTTTTAATAGTTCATGAATATATAATGTACAACTTCGAAAACTTTACAATTGTAGTTATATGAAAAATATTTTTGACAGAATTGATATGGCCTTTCCCCCTCAAGATGGTGAAGAACATAAAAGATACTATCTGACTTGGACAGCTAAAATGCTGGGGCAAAAGAAGGTATACCAAACAGCTTCTTCTTTGCAGTGTGTCCTTACACTTTGGTTCAAATAAAAGATTAATATTTAGTTTGAAGTATAAACATTTTTTGTTAAATCTATTGCATTTTTCCCTCAGGATAAATCAAATATATTAAATTACTTGCTATTCAAAGCATATGGTAATAGCTTATATTCACTTATTAAACATGCATAATAGCTTATCTAGATCTTCCAGTAAAGCCTTCTTACAATATGCTTTATAATTTACTTTATATGTTTTTAAAATGAGTGGCTGAATCTATTAAATTTTGTTACATTATGATAGAATTTTATAGATGCTTTTATATTATGGGTCATCAAAATATTTTGCATACTTTAATTCCAGAAAGTTCCCTTCAATAACTCCCATTATCTATTTCATAAGTATAATGAATACAGTAAATGTCAAGTAAAATAGTTTTTTTCATAAATGAATTAGCCAAACTCTCTTCCTTTCCTGGGAAAAGAGAAGACTCACATTTTTCAAGTAAGAGGAAAATATACAATATTCTATTTATTCCCATCTCTGCTTCAAAAAGATATGAAAGTAATGACCATGCAGGTTCAGAATTGCGGGGTGATAGGACTGTGTGGGCCCAAGAAAGTGGAGACAGTAAAATTAACTGTCTAGAACTGTGATCTCTTTTCAGCTGATGGCAGTAATTACCAGAAAAGCCCCACCTCCATTGGCTCTTCTGCATAAAATGTCTCCAGATTATATCTATAAAGAAATAAATATGATCCATTTATTACAATCTTTCTTTACTGTAATATGTAATAGAAAGCGCAGTTAGGCATTTCCATATGCAGCCTTGAAGCAATTTAGCTCCTTTTCAAAGAAACAAAGTTTAGCCAGAAATTTTCTTGTCAAGTCTATAAATGAATCCCTGCTCTTTGTAATATTTTTTTCAAAGACTTAAAATAATAAAGGAAATATTTTGTTCATTACCTAAGGTTATTTGTAAATATTATTTCCAAGTTACTTTTTATTGATTTTACATTTGACCATAAATGACAAATAATAAGAACGGCATCCCTATGTTCTCACTAAGAAATCTTTAAAGTTTATATTTAAAGATTTATCCTCTGGTTCTTCAAGTTGAAAAAGTGCAACAAATGATAGAAATTTTCCATCTGTGTCTCTCTTCGTTGAAACAGACATCTGTCTTTATTCATATGAAGCTCAATTAATGTATATGATGGAGATAGCTGTGATGTGAATGTGTGTGTGTGTGTGTGTGTGTGTGTGATGTATGCCTGCTGAAGGTGGGGCTGCCCAAATACAGCTAAATCATTCTTCTCTCTGGCTTTCAGAAAACTAGACAAAGAAAGGATCTGATAACTTCTCCCAGTTTATATACCCTAACAGGTACAAGCCCTAAAGAAGACAGCAACCACACATAACAGTGTTACTCTCCTCATTCCCAGAGAGAATGAAACTAATCTTTCAAAAATATAAGTTAATAACGGAATAACAGGTGTCTAGACCATTGTAGCCAATAAGTGCTGTTTAGGTTGCAAACCAAACTAAGCCACAAAGTATCTTATCTCCTTCCTTGGCTAAGAAAGCTTTATGAGAAACCATGATATTTAGAAAATGAATAAATTAATGCTGTTCTTCTAAATTATATGGATTTGACAATATATTAATTTCAGGATCATGCCTAAAGCAAAACATTTACATAAAGGCCTGGAGTGAAAGTCAAAGGCCTGAATGTGTTCAGCCAGTTTAAAGATTACTTTTAAGCATCTATATTGCTAGCTACATTTGTAGACTTTACTATAATTTCCCAGGAAATTATCCAAAGCTTATTATAATATTAACATCATTTTAAGATTATTTAAGCAAAAGAAAAATATGAAAATTACTTGTTTATTCAGGAAGATACATATGATTCCAAGTTCAGCACATTGTAACTTCTTCTTCTGGCCCCAATTTTCTGATAAATACTATACTATCCTTTCAGCTTTAAGGGTAGCACACTGAGGTGTAGTTTTTGATGTTGTGCAGTGGTATCATCTCAAGTGTACATGGAAATGAGGGGCTTGAAATAGAAAAAGGAGAAGAAGAAGAAGAAAGATCCATAGATATTTCTGTTTTTAGAACCTCATTTTACCTGGCCAACATGGCGAAACCCCGTCTCTATTAGCCAGACGTGGTGATGCATGCCTGTAGTCCCAGCTACTTGGGAGGCTGAGGCAGGAGAATTGCTTGAATGCAGGAGGCAGAGGTTGCAGTGAGCTGAGATCGCACCACTGCACTCCAGCCTGGGCAACAAAGTGAGAATCCATCTCAAAAAAAAAAAAAAAAAGGAATCTCACTTTTAAAAAAGGATAAATCTTTAGGTATTTAAAATTTGTATGATTCTTTTATAAAAGACACCACCATATGAATGCTTAAACACAAAAAAGTATACAACCTGATTCATCTTTGCAGAAGGAGACCTGAGATCTTTAAAATTTACACTATTCATTTGCTGTGCAGAAGCTCTTTAGTTTAATTAGATCCCATTTGTCAATTTTGGCTTGTGTTGCCATTGCTTTTGGTGTTTTAGACATGAAGTCCTTGCCCATGCCTATGTCCTGAATGGTATTGCCTAGGTTTTCTTCTAGGGTTTTTACGGTTTTAGGTCTAACATTTAAGTCTTTAATCCATCTTGAATTAATTTTTGTATAAGGTGTAAGGAAGGGATCCAATTTCAGCTTTCTGCATATGGCTAGCCAGTTTTCCCAGCACCATTTATTAAATAGGGAATCCTTTCCCCATTGCTTGTTTTTCTCAGGTTTGTAAAAGATCAGATAGTTGTAGATAGGTGGCGTTATTTCTGAGGGCTCTGTTCTGTTCCATTGATCTATATCTCTGTTTTGGTAGCAGTACCATGCTGTTCTGGTTACTGTAGCCTTGTAGTGTAGTTTGTAGTCAGGTAGCATGATGCCTCCAGCTTTGTTCTTTTGGCTTAGGATTGACTTGGCGATGCGGGCTCTTTTTTGGTTCCATATGAACTTTAAAGAAACTACCATCAAAGTGAACAGGCAACCTACAGAATGGGAGAAAATTTTTGCAACCTCCTCATCTGACAAAAGGCTAATATCCAGAATCTACAATGAACTCAAACAAATTTATAAGAAAAAAACAAACAACCCCATCAAAAAGTGGGCAAAGGATATGAACAGACACTTCTCAAAAGAAGACATTTATGCAGCCAACACACACATGAAAAAATGCTCATCATCACTGGCCATCAGAGAAATGCAAATCAAAACCACAATGAGATGCCATCTCACACCAGTTACAATGGCGATCATTAAAAAGTCAGGAAACAACAGGTGCTGGAGAGGATGTGGAGAAATAGGAACACTTTTACACTGTTGGTGGGACTGTAAACTAGTTCAGCCATTGGGGAAGTCAGTGTGGCGATTCCTCAGGGATTTAGAACTAGAAATACCATTTGACCCAGCCATCCCATTACTGGGTATATACCCAAAGGATTATAAATCATGCTGCTATAAAGACACATGAACACGTATGTTTATTGCGGCACTATTCACAATAGCAAAGACTTGGAACCAACCCAAATGTCCAACAATGATAGACTGGATTAAGAAAATGTGGCACATATACACCATGGAATACTATGCAGCCATAAACAATGATTAGTTCATGTCCTTTGTAGGGACATGGATGAAATTGGAAATCATCATTCTCCGTAAACTATCGCAAGGACAAAAAACCAAACACCGCATGTTCTCACTCATAGATGGGAATTGAACAATGAGAACACATGGACACAGGAAGGGGAACATCACACTCTGGGGACTGTTGTGGGGTGGGGGGAGGTGGGAGGGATAGCATTAGGAGATATACCTAATGCTAAATGACGAGTTAATGCGTGCAGCACACCAGCATGGCACATGTATACATATGTAACTAACCTGCCCATTGTGCACGTGTACCCTAAAACTTAAAGTATAATAATAATAAAAAAAGAAAATATGAAATGTAAAAAAAATATAAAAAATTTACACTATTCAATCAATGTAAATTTCATATGACATTTCATAAGAGTGTGTCTGGCACATTCTCATGTAGAATGTTCTTTTATTTGCTTGGACCTAGTTGTCTAGTGTATACGTTTTCTATTGTTATGTAATAAATCAGCACAAATTTTGCAGCTTAAAACAACACAAATTTTTTGTCTTACAGTTTCTATAGGTCAGGAATTCAAGTACAGGTTAGCTGTGCCTATGGCTTAGGTGTCACTAGACTGATTGAGGTGTTATAGCTAAGGCTACGATTCCCCTTTGTGGTTCAGGGTCCTTTCTCAATTGTTGGTGAAATACATCTTATTTCCCCAATCTTACACTTAAAGCCTAACCTTTCTTGGATGATCAAGCCTGCCCATATTAAGCAATGAAGATCAGTAGATAAAATGTCTAGGTCTTCATATTCTTAGCTCTTTCACCTAAATGTTACTTTTCCTTGATCCAGTCCATCACTCCATATAGATCCTTTGATATTTTTTCTCCTATTCAATACCTTAAAAACCTTTTTTTGTTTCATAATAATTTGCATATCAATGACTGTGCTACTTGTCATAACTAACCTGCAACATAATAATGGCTTAAACAACATAGAAGTTGATTTCTTTTTTCACACATACAAAAAAGGCTAGAGATTGGTTATTCACCATGGAGATTATAGATCTTTACACCTTAAGGATCCAGACTCCGCTAATCTTTCTGCATTATTATTCCTATTGCCCACCTGGCATATTATTTCAGAGTCATGGAAACAAACACCAATTTCAAGGGAGTTCCTAGCACCACTCCTTAGTAAATTCCCAACAAATGGTTGTTGAATGAATGCCTGCACAATTGAATATAGAGAAAGGTTGAAAAAGTCAATAGTTTTCTTGAAGTACTTAACTAAATATTAATATCAGGTAGCACTGGCACTGGCAGATACTTGATTTTTAAAAATCAAGTTTTTAAAAACTAGTTTTGATCTATAATATACATATTCAAAGTATAAAACTGTCATGCTTTGCAGATTGAAAAAAGTCTTTTGTTCAATTAGTAGTCATAGTTCTAGGGAATGATTCTTCTCTGCATTTACATTTTTTTCAAAGTGCTAATCAATATATCAGTATTGGATAAAGATATCCTCATTAAAAGTAGATGAGTGAATATAAATTACACATCCCTTATTTTTAGCTATTGTCTTTTGCAGTCTTAATTTACAATTACTACCATGATTCATGATACCAATGCTACATCTATAAGTAAAATAGTCACAGCTAGTAGGCACTGATTTTCAAACTTATTTTCTAGTTTGGATTTTACATCTGTATTTTACATTCTATAAACCAAAAAATTAATAATTTGACTGTTGAAAAGTTAGTAGATTAATACAATCATTTTAAGGATATAAAAAAGCTTTCAAGTCAGATATATTTTATTTAACAAATATATGTATTTTTATATAGTACCTACATAACCTTTTGAATTTTCAAGATAATGTAGGAAAAATCCTTACATTTCATATTTCATCTGGATTTGCATAATATTAACAGAATAAAGAAAGCAAGTCTGAATCTTTTGCCTTTCCGATTATAACACCATTTAGACAATATTTGTAGGAAAGGCTACAAAAATAATCTATCTTTCCTAGAAATACTGTAAACTCTATACAGTACCAGAAAACATGAAAGTGAGGCTTCATCTACTACCCTGGGTATTTCAGGAAGTTTATTTAGTATTTTACTGTATCATGTACATGTTGAGAATCTGTGCTTAAAATGGCCACATTTTAGTTTTATATTTCTTACTTTCTAATATGAGAATTGAAAATAAAATATCCAGAGGAAAACAAAGACAAAAGAGAAAAGACAGTAAAAGAGATACTATTTGACAAAATAATTGCTTTTTCTAAAAGAAAAAAACTAAGAGTATACATAAGATATCTATTTTCTATATCCTTTATATAAAAACTATTTTAGCTTCTTAAAGGATTTGCATGATCGGAAGTATTTTTTATTATAACAATAGAAGAACTCAGTTCATTAAATCGGAGACATTTCTTCACTTATAAATAAATTTTCTTTTATTGCTCCCTTCCAGTACACCTCTAAGGTATACAAGACAACAATGATTACAAGTACAAAGCCGAGCTTGTATATAAGTACAATTTGAGAAAAATCTTGATGAGTTGGCATTTGAGGAAATATTTTTGTCATTGTAGAAACTAATTGCATATGTTGAATCACATTTTAGAACATAAAAATTATTTTGTTAAAAACATATACATGATTATATTTTACAACACATTTTTAGGCATATTACACAAAATAAAACACTGTTCAAAATTTATAGAAAACTAAGGTAGAATTTTTTTAAAAAAAAAAAAACTTCTTAGGAAAATACCAGTTTTTAAATAGGAAATTTTGGGGAAAAGTCAAGCACTTTAAAGTGCTAAAAAGTGACTGAAATCACCATACCTACATACTAAGCATGACATGAGAAACTCATGTTTATGTCAAATAAAGCTCTCATGGGGATTATGTTATCCAATCTGCTTTGTATTCTCTAGCTGCCAAATTTTTATTTCAATAGCCAATCGGTTCAAATTGAAAGATGTCTTTAGCTTTCCATTCTAGCCTGTGGGTTAATTTAGTTTGTTATGAATCTATACAGAGCTGTACTATTCACAATCCTTTACATTCACAACTTTGATTTATGATTTGAATTAGAATGTGAAATGGGAAAGGCTTCCACACAAATTCACCATCTGAATGCTGTAGGAACAGCTCAGTCAAGTACTAGAACTTGCACTTTCAAAATAGTCATCAAAATGCCAATTATTTCATGCAATAAACAGCAAGCAGAGACAGGAAAATTATTCATATGAGAAGCAAATCTGATGAAAGTCAATTTACAGAATAGAACAATAAAAAATCTGCAATACACTTTTATACAAAATCCTCAGTAGATTAATATGTTCTGTAGTTGATACAAATACACATTTTTCAGCATTCAAAAACCACTTTGACAACAAAACCAATAAAGCCTTTTGAAGGTTTTCATTCTCTTTCTGGGGTTCAAGACTTTTTGTTATCCACCCAGCTATTTTTGTTTCCCATCATAAACTCTTTTATAAATGTGCCTAGAATATTCACGTCCTCATTCTTGCTGCTATCTCATCACAACCTATTTCCCACATTTAGGCATACCTTTCTTCCTTTATTTGCTTATATACACCATTGTACACTTTGAACAATGTGAAAGTTTGTTAATAAGCAACCCTAGGCCAGGTGCGGTGGTTCACGCTTTTAATCTCAGCACTTTGGGAGGCCGAGAAGATGGATCACCTGAGGTCAGGAGTTCAAGACCAGCCTGGCCAACATGGTGAAACCTTGTCTCCACTAAAAATACAAAAATTAGCCAGGTGTGGTGGCAGGCACCTGTAATCCCAGCTAGCCAGGAGGCTGAGGCAGGAGACTCTCTTGAACCCAGGAGGCAGATGTTGCTGTGAGCCGAGATTGCGTCATTGCACTCCAGCTGGGGGACAAGAGCGAAACTCCATCTCCAGATAAATAAATAAATAATTAATAACCCTAGAAAATTAATGTATTTTTGGCACTATAATATTTTGGTCAGAAGCCAAAATCTTTTGTTAGAAGACATTCTATATGTCTTTCATAACTTGTATATCCCCACCAAATGCATTTTCTTTTCTATGTATGTATTAATGTGTAGATTTTATAATCAATAATAAAATGTAGATAATTTTGGTAATGAAGAGCATTTGTCTAGTTACAACCCCCACCAGAGAATTCACTGGAACTCTCTGTCTCTCTTTGAAGCCCCACTTTTCCCCATTCCCAAATATTTCAAGGATTTGCCAAGATCTGTCTAATCAATACCTGTAAACAAATTTTCTTAAATGTGTTTGATTTTTGATAATTTCCTCTTTTGTTCTAGCCATGGGGTTTTATGCAGTCATAGAGAGGTACCTTCAGTGCTGTTTGTCCCTGTCATAACAAGAACATCATCCCCCTTTGCCTCTGAAGCCACCAGTGTTACTTTTCACCTGTGGTGTCAATCCACGCTAATTCACAAAAGCCACTTAAAGCAAAAGGCACTCACTGAAATTGCCACTGCTACCAAAATGTGCTAGCTGAAAATGCAAGCATTGTTCTGCGAAATTATCGCAGATTGTGGCCACCAGTTTTAGAACCAATGTGGGCATTAATACTACTAGCTCTGTCTCTAGCTTGTATTGATTCAGAATAAATTGAAGTGTGCTAATGCTAGGCAACATTTAATCCTGTCTGATGAAGAAAGAGCAATCCTTAAATCTCACCGTTGTTCTACAGTCTTGTCGCAATTAGGATTCATATTTGCAAGCAATAAAGGCTGACTAGATGATTAAGCAGAAAAAGGACATGAGGGCAGCTCACAGATTTGTTGGGAGGCTTGGAGAACAAGACTCAAAGCTACATTTCCAGAAACATTCCAAAGCAGTGTTAAAAATTTATCTTAGAAAAATTTTGCTACTGCTGCCGAGTAGAACTAGATGCCGGGGTTTGCTGCTACTACTACTGTGGGGAGAAAAAGAAAGACAGAGACAAAGACTGAGAGAGACAGACAGACGGAGAGATCTTCATCTCTCACTCCCGCGTCAATCTGATACAGATATGTTTGATTAATAGATCCTAGGTCATGTGCAATGGAAGCTAAGAGAGTGAATTCACAGAATTGTTTTGCTTTTATAGATAAAAGTAGTTATTGCTTCCTCAGCAAGACTCATCAACTTGAATGTTCCCAAACATCAAACAACATTCAAAGTTGAGTGACCAAAATAAATAACAAATATATACAGATATATGTAAAATGTCTTTTTTTATTGGTCTCCTTTGTGCTTCAATGTTTCACAGAGATAAAATGCAACCACACTTATTTCCACCTAGACTCGAGAAAAGTTATTGATTTATAATAGAAGAGAAGATAATCTGAGTTATAAGCTCAACAT
This sequence comes from Homo sapiens, assembly GCF_000001405.40. Lineage (NCBI taxonomy): Eukaryota > Metazoa > Chordata > Mammalia > Primates > Hominidae > Homo > Homo sapiens. The sequence goes on along the minus strand of NC_000005.10, from coordinate 85,057,991 downwards.
TTTGCTCAAAATCACCTATTCCATATCATGCTAAGTCATTGTTTTTAGACCCAGCTCATGTTTCTTATTCTCTTACTTATAGTGAGTTCTGTCTCTGTAGACTCCAGATTTCATATCTTAGTAGTCTCTTGGTATAGTCCTCACCACTATTACTCCATATATAACAGGGTGAATGGGTTTAAGTTCACTTGAGCCAAGTTACATATGATATTGTGGTTTAATAATTATTTACGCATTTTCTGTGACTGAAATATGTATTACACTGGTGGTGAGGTAATTTAATGACATATAATTTTGTAGTTTTAAAAACATTACATTTTATCGCCCCCTCTGGGAATGTAGTACAGAAGAAACAAAACGTGTGTGTGTGTGTGTGTGTGTGTGTGTGTGTGCAGAATATTGTTAGAGGCAAATTTAATATTAGCTTATTATAAGCAGCTGCTGAAATTTAAGCAATCTTAAATGATCTCCCCCCATCAGAAGTATTATAGTGTCTGTGTAGATAATAAGAATGAATAAAGAAAGAGAACTGGAAAAATACTCACAAAGCTAATTATTAATAACCAGCTCAACTTATCAACTAAAACTATACTCTGAATAATTTAGGAGTTGCTGGGATAAAACAATTTGACATTTTGGATTATGACTTTTTTCTTTATAATGAATATTGGAAAACACAGGATGAGAATCTGCAACTTAGGATAAAGTAGAGACATAGTCACTACATTTAATCTTACTTAGGACCTTTGCTTCAGCCAGTCTAGTCAATTAACAGGACTCTTTATCTGGCTCACTTAGTTGTAAATATCCCTTGCTGTCTTAGTCTTGTGCCATTAAAAGCAGCAATTTTAAAACATATGTGAACTAAAAGAGTTTCATGACACCATATTTTTAAAATTCCTTGCCTATCCCAAACTTTAATCAAGGTGAATACTGTCTGAAGTATTGAAGCCACCGTATACATTTCCCATGGAACTTCCAAATGAACTATCACTTTTGTGTGTGCATGTATGCAGGTACCTAGGTTTGCTGGTACATCTACATGCCTGAATTTCATGGTGGTCTCTAACATTTTTAGGGTCTAAAGCAAGAGGACAAATGGATGTCAAAAAAATATGTCTAGATATTCAAATGCTATAAATCAAGTTAATAAAATGTTAATAATATGTCATATCCTCCTTCTTTGAAAGAATATAATTTCATAAAGACTAATAAAACCATGCTCCAATTTGAAATACTTGAACTGCTTAGGATTTCACAGCATACCTTAGAAAGTATCCACACCCCTTTCATCCCCATTCATGACTCTATCCTACTCCTCCTACAGACATGTCTGTCAATGTGGGAAAATCCCAGTTTTAGCAGGGAATCTGAGTTCTCTGATACTTGGGGCATGTTGTAGAAGAAGGATACTGTATATCCTTCATCTCATGCACAGAAGCCTGTTTGATGGAAGGCGAGAGTGGAACTTCTCAAGGTGTAGAACTCCTCTTTCTGAGTATAAAGGCAGTGTTACTGAACATGAGATGACTCTCTGCTAGGAATGAGGAAGCTATACCTTAACTGAAGAAAGATTACTATATGGTTTATACTCTAAAAATGATTGAGAGAACACAATATCTGTGAAGATTCAATAAAAAGGAAAGTGAGATAAAGTGAGATCAAGGCATATCAAACTGAAATAGGTAACTGCTAAATTAAAGACTGTATTGAGAGCATTGAATAGCATACTGGGATGGGGGAAATAGAAGTTGTTCAGGACAGGAGGCTTAAATTATTCTAGAATTTTGAGAAAACGAGCAAAAAAAGATAAATAAAAACATAAGCGACACGAGGAACTATGAAAAGCTTGAAAATATTAAATATGTAGAAATAAGTAGAGTTATATAAAAAGTGGTAGTTTTTCTATTCTAGAATACTCAGCAGTAAAAGGTAACAAAATCAGTATTTGTTGGAGAAAAGTTTTATTTTAATTAAATATAATTAAATTTTGTTTTTACAAATCTTTTGTTATGACGCAAGTTATGATATCAGAAATTTGACGCTGCATACTTCAGGAAAAGGCCAATACAACACCATAAGCAATATTTTTACAGCATGTAGAGAGTGTTGAGCAATGCTTTTAAATGCTATATCCATCACATACCAGCATCATCTTCTTGAGAAAATCTAGACATTGAATTTAGATATTTTATACAATATGACAGTTATATAAGAATTTTTAAAAAGTAGGCAGCATATAAAATTAGCTTTTTAAAGATTATTTGTTTTACCCTTAGGGTAGCTTCCTTCTCTTTTACTTAATAGACACCACTAAGCTCTGCCATTTTAGTGTGTGCTCAGTGAATTAAAATCTTTCAGTATTTTCTAGACAAAATATGGTTAAGTTGACAACTTTGTAGCAAAAAATGTTGCGTTCTCAAAATTAATATACAATGTTTTGGCTTTTCTATGTTGTTCTGCATTTGCTAAAATTTTATTTTTATTTCACAGACACATATTTTTGAGAATTAAAAGTTCTGCAGATATAGCAACAATCCAACAAGCAAAATTCATCAGTTCAGACAGAAATAACAAATAGCTTTATGTGGCCATCATGTATGGAAAAGAGCATCAAGTGAGGATTACTAATTTTTAGAGGCATACAGACTGATTTTCAATTGGAGAATTTGATATTAAAATCATAAAATCAGTAAAAAATATACATAAATATAATAACTAAAACATTAATATGTTCAATGCCAACTGCTTTTTTTAAATCTAGGATTTTTTACACTTACGTAGTTTATTCTATCTTTGCAACAAATTAGGGCAGCAAACATTCAAATTACCTCTTTTGAATTCTGGTGCTATTTCAATATTTTCAAAATAAAATTTTCAATAACACAAAATCAATTTTACATTTTAAAAACTTGAAAATATTGCTGTGCTAGAGTAAAATGAATATGTAAAGTGAAAGAAAGAATATTCTTTTCTGGAAAGAAACCAAGTACAATATCAGCATTGTCCCAGTGGTACTTATAAACAGAAATAGAATATGTTTTTGAGTGGCATCCTTAGCCAGGGGAACACTTCATGATCAAGTAAGAAAAAGCAAGCATTAGATTTATTTTTAAAATATAAGCTCTGTAAATATAATTCTCTTATCTGCTGGAAGGAAAAGAAAATTGTTGTATTGTCAGATCTCAAAACTGGGCTTTCTGAATATATATTCCCTTCCATTTCTTACCCCACATAAATTATACTAACATTTTATAATCACTTTCATTTTATAAGACACTAGTTTGATTAACATGCTCTGGCCACAGCTGCAAATACTGGAAGCTTCATAGCGCTATTAGAATAACATACCAGGGTTCCTGAGTTATATACTTGAGATAATTAAATCTAACAGTATATGAGCTTGATGGTCATTGAAATATATGAACTAAAGCTGTCCAGTGTTGAATTGCAGTATCCAATTTCAATAGGACATTTTATTTCTTTATTTTTTCAGCCAGCATTGTTCAGCATGTTTAAAAAACTTAATAGTAAATCTCTACTACAGATTTGCATTTAATTTTATACACACATTCATTGTACTTGAAAAAAAAAACATCAAGCAAAGTAGCAATACATTTTTCTTGTTTCCGGAATTTGGGAAACTTGCAAGAATTTGATGTAGGTCACATTTTGAGTTGTTCTCTTCAGTGTCTTATGCAGTTTGTATCATTAAATGCAAATAACATCTCTTGTGTCACGTCAATAACCATAAGTATTAATTAACTTTAGTCAGGTGACTTATAGAAAATAAGGTATGGCAGAGCAGCCTAATAATATTATTATAGAATTCTATCACAGGATTTTCAGCTTTTGCCTTGGGGTATAAAGATATGGAAGGAGTATCACCCCTACCCTTAAAATGAAATATGATTTTCTTAAAACTTATTGGATTGTGGAAGTTTTAGAACAATCAACTAACCAAAAAATTAAGGAAACATAGTACTGACAGGCAGAGTGGGGATGTACAAACTTGTGGCCTTTGGCTAGATTCACCTACACAGAGGTAAGAACGGCTCAGTTGAATAATTGATAAATTGCCCAAGACCAAGTGTGAGCCAGAAGAACATTTTGAAATTTTAGTGAGTCTCAAACTATGGGAGTCCATATCATCTTCCAGGTTCTTCCTGCACACTCACAGAAAAGATAGAACCTTAAGAAATACGCATTGTGATGCAAGCCTAAGAAAGAAGAATAGAAAAGTTTTATAGAAGAGGTAACAAAATCTGCCAGATTCTTCTTTCCTATCTATACTACTGAACAAAAGCCTTAAACTGTGGATGAAATGCTGTAAATACTGTACCCCCTAGGCCATTTGTGAAAACTCATGCAGCCGAGGAAAGGAAAATAAATAAAGCTTATTCCTGGAGTGGGATGAAATTATGCGTTGAGCTGAAAAGTGTAGCTGGAGAACAAAACGGCCACATTTCTGAAACCCAGAGACACATGCATACCTTAGATTTGGGCTTGATAATAACACCAAAGAAAGCACCACACTCCACCCTCAACTGCCAAGATAACATGATTTGGATAACCAGTAAAAGGAGAAAACTGCTGGTAGGGAGCAGACGGAACAAGAACAATCAAAAAGACCCACTTTGTGGCACAGTGCAGAGTAGATCTAAAACTTAAAAACAGTCATCATTCTAATAAACTAAGCTCCACCCTAAACAAAAGATAGTCCTACAGGAATTTGAAGGCTGTGGTCCATTGAGGCTAATTATAGCAACAACAAATCTACAATCCGGAATCTACAACCCAGACTAATTCCTAATTAGATGAACTCAAACATCTCCCTGCACTAAATGCCTAACAAAGGCATGTTTATTTCCAAAAATAAAAACTGTTTACCTCAATTTCCACTGTTCATACAAAATGACTAAATTTTAACATAAAAAATTACAAGATGTAAGAAGTCATGAAAAAGCACAGTCGTAAGAGACAAAGCAATCAAAACAAGAAACAAATAGGACACAGATGTTGGAATTGTCAGGGAATTCAGAATAACTATTATTAGTATGAAAAACATGCTAAAATTAGAGAACATGCCAGATCAGCTTTGTTGTGACTCCTCTCTTTCTGTGGTTGTAGAGCTTAGCTCCTTCTTGGAGTGAGGGACGTGCCTCCACAGCGCTCTTTCCCTCATCTATTTTTGGGAATCTACACAAGACTGTTACCTCTATTGAAAAGTAGGGATATGACTATTTAAAAACTGAAAATGACAGAGTTATTCTAGAATATTTAAACACTAAAAAGATGAAAAATAATGATCAAACCAAAGTTTATTTGGTGAATCCTCAGTAAGCATGAAACAATTTTCTATGAGAAACTTCAGTTCAGAGGATTGAGACACAAATTGTCATTACAGTCTTTTTTGAGGAGTGTGGGGGACTTATTAAATATATTCTGTAGTGTAAAGTGACTTTTAAGATAAAACATAGAGTAAAAATGAATATTATTTTGAAACCGCAAGGAATTATCACACGGAAATGAAGGGATAAATAAAACAGCAACAGAAATGAAGATGCTTTTGATGGCTTTATCAGTAGACTTAGCACAGAGAAGAAATGAATATGTAAGCTTAAACATAGGTCTATAGAAATTACCTAAAAATAAGTATAAATAGATAAAAAGTTACAAAAGCAGAGTATCAAAAATTTGGGGAACAATATCGAATCTTGTATCACAAGTGTAATTATACCCCCAAAAAGAAAAGAGAAAAAAAAAAACTAGACAAAGAAATATTTGAAGATACTTTGATATTTTTCCAAAATTAATAATAGGAAAATTTGTAGTTCTACGCAATTCAGAGAATATCATGCAGAATAAAAAATATAAATCAAAACAAAATAATAAGAACAAAAATGTAATTATATTTAAACTACTGAAAATATGAGATAACACAAAAATCATTAAGGCAGTTAGAGAAAAACAGAAACATTAAATTTTAATGATCACACATAAGAATCAGAGGAGACTTTGTGTCTAGATCACATAAGGTAAATAATAGTGCAGTGACACCTCTAATGTAATGAGGAAAAAGGAAAAGAAAAGAAAAACTCGAATTCCATACACAGTGAAAATATCTTTTCAAAATAAAGATGAAAAACAGACTTTCTCAAGCAAAAGCTTAAGGATATTGTCGACACTAGATAAACTCTGTAGGAAATTTTAAAAAATATTTATTCACAAAGAATACGATAGCAGTTTAGGACTTGGATCTATACAAAGAAATGATAAACACTGAAAATATAATAAATAAGATTGGTAAATTTTAATATTTTCTTATTGCCTTTCTGTTGCAAAGATAATTGACTATCTTAAGCAAAAATATAGAAAAGTATGGTATGTGCATAGCATTTGTAAAAGTAAAAGGCTAAACAGAATAGAACAAAGGAGGAAAGAAAAAAATTGACATTATATGGCTATATAGTATTTAAACTGCATATATAGCAGTATTTAATTATTTAAATGTGTACTCAGATTTATTAAAAATATACATTACATTGTATCACCAAAGGCTACCACTTAAGATTTTAAAAACTATATAAATAATAAGTGAAAGAGATGAAATAGAATTATTTAAAAGGCTCAATTAATGCAAGAGAAGGCAGAAATAAAAGGGCGAAAATAGAAATAAATGGGAAAATGCAGGATGGCAAGTTATAATCTAATCATATCAATAATCTCTTTATGCATCAACAAACATCAGTTACAAAACAGAAATTGTCTGATCTATTTAAAAAGTTACAAAGCAAGAATCATCTATGTAATATTTATAAGAAAGCCACTTTAAGTATGAAAGCATAGATAGTATAAAACTAAAAGGATGGAGAAAAATGTTAATACAATACATTTAGTATCAGATGAATAGAGCTCTCTATATATGATATATATATATATATATATATATATTTAACTGCAAAACATCCTTTATTTTAACTTTTATTTTAGATTCAGGAGATACATGTGCAAGTTTGTTATCTGGGAGTATTGCATAATGCTGAAGTTTGGGGCACAAATGAGGCTGTCGCCCAAGTTTTTCAAACATTGCCCACCTCCCTCTTCCCATCTCTACTAGTACCCAGTTTCTATTGTTGCCACCTTTATGTCCATGAGTACCTAATGTTTAGCTTCTACTTGTAAGTGAGAACATGTGGTATATGCTTTTCTGTTTCTGTGTTAATTCTTACTTGCCACTCTGTGCCTTTTACATGGGGTGTATAGACCATTTACATTCAAGGTTAATATTAATATGTAAGGTTGTGATTCTCTCATGAAGTTGTTAGTTGGTTACCCTGTAGTTTCTATTGTATGGTTGCTTTATAGAGTCTGTGGGCTATGTAACTGTGGTTTTGTGGTAGCAGGCATTGTATTTTCATCTCCATGTTTAGAACTCCCTTAAGGATCTCCTGTAAGGCTGGCCTAGTGGTAGTGAATTCCCTTAGTGCTTGCTTGTCTGGAAAAGATTTTAATTCTTCTTTTCTTATGAAGCTTAGTTTGTTGTGATATGAAATTATTGGCTGGAGTTTCTTTTCTTTAAGAATGCTGATAAAGAAAATGTCTTTTCTTTGAAAATGCCCAATCTCTCAGCAAAAGTCTTTTGCTGAGAAATTTGCTGTTAGCCTGATACAGTTAATTTCATACATGATCTGACTTTTTTCTCAAGCCACATTTAAGATTTTTAATTTTTCTAACATTGACCTTGGGCAGTTTGATGACTATATACCTTTATGATGTTTGCTTTGTATAAAGTCTTGGAGGTGTTCTCCGGATTTCTTGTATCTGGATGCCTAACTCTACAGCAGGATTAGAGAAATTTTCTTTAATTACTCCCTCAAATATGTTTTCCAGGTTGTTGCATTTTTCCCCTTCTCTGTTAGAGATGACAATTACTCACAGATGTGGTAACTTTTCATAATCCCATATCTATCAAAGAGTTTGTTCAATTTGTAAATTCTTTTTTCTTTATTTTTGTCTGACTGAGTTAGTCTGAAAGACAGTCTTCAATCTCTGAAATTCTTTCTTCTACTTGGTCCATTTTATTGATTAAGCTTTTGATTGCATTTTGAAATTCCTTATGTCATTCTTTCAATTTAGAAGCTCTGATTGATCTTTTAAAAAATTTTTATCTTTTCCATAATTTCCTGGATTGCTTTAGACGTTATTTTTTCATGACTGTCAACCTTGTCCCAGATCTCATTGAGCTTCCTTGAAATCCATGCTTTCAATTCTTTCTCTATAATTTTTTTTGTTTTCATTTTGGTTAGGGATCATTGCTGGAAAGGTAGTGCAATCCTTTGATGGGGTCACTACATTAATATTTTTCATGGAGCCAGAATTCTTCTGCTGGTTCCTTCTCACCTGGAGATACTGGCACTTCTATTTTGTGTGTGTGTAATTATTTTCATGCAGGTAGATTTTTTTCTTGTTTCCTTTCTCTATATTATTATTATTATTATTTTATTTCCCCTTGTGTCCCCCCCACCTCCAGGAGGTGTGACTGTAGAGAATGTTGCATAGAATCTTTTTATTACACTTTGCTTCTATAGCCCTATGAACTTTTGTCAGCAGGTTTTATACTGGGCTGTGAAGTTTAACATATAAACCAGTAGGTGGTGCTTATAGGCAAGAGCTAGATGTAGCCAATGCAGCTGGGTACGTACTTGATCCTTGTTTACTGGGAGAAGCTTTCTGTTGCCTCAGGCAATGGGCTGATTCATAAAGTGCATGGTGGTCTAAGCACCCTGTTCAGCCCTGAGGAGGCAGACCAAATGGGTGGGCCTGATTGAATAGGTCTGTGTACAGGTCTGCACATGGCAGACACAAGCACCACCATGGGAGAATATAGTGGGTGGCCACAAGGCACCAAGAGATCAAGAGATGTGTGTAGCATGGAGCTGGGAAACCACTTTAGCCTCAAATTCCCTGCATGGGGATGAAGGGTGGCCTAAACTCCTAATCCAAGAGGGTGGGGGCTCTAGATGCCTGGAGATTTGCTTGGGTATTAAGCAGACAGAACTCTCCTTCACCAGGATCTCTACACAGGAAGGGTAGGATTGCTCAGGCTTCTGTTCCAGGCAAGCAGGTGCTCTGAGTGCCTGGAGATCTGCCTGGGCATAGAGTGGAGATCTGCCACAAGATGACCACATAGGAAGAGGAGGGCAACTCAGGCTGCTGAACTAGGCAAGCAGATACTCTGAATGCCTGGAGATCTGCCTGGGAGTACAGCAGAGAGCCGCCTCCCCAGCCTCAACCTCACACCAGGATCTCTGAACAGGAAGAGTTGCGTGGCTCAGTCTGCTGGCTGACCTGGTCCTCTGAATGCCTGGGGATATGCCTGGGAGTGGAGTAGAGAAGGCCTTGCTGCACCGTGATCTATGTCCTGGAAAGATAGGTGACTCAAAGTGTAGATCTAGCACAGCAGGTGCTACAATTGTCTGGAGATCTGCCCGAGTGTGAAGCAGAGAGGGCCTCCCTGCACTAAGATCTCTACACAGGAAGGGTGGCATGGGTCATTCCACTGATCCAAGTGAGTGAGTGTTCCAAATGCCTGGAGATCTGCCTACTTGTGGAACAGAGAGAGCCCTGCTGCACAATGATCTATTTCCAGTAAGAGTGGGGTGGTTTTGGCCACCAGTCCAGGAAAGTGGATGTTCCAAATGCTTGGATTTCTGCCTAAGGGGTCCCACTGCACCACAATCTTAGGTGAGCAGGCCAGGTCACCGAGCAATAGCATGTGAAGACAGATTGCTGGTCACCAATCTGACCTTGGTTGCAAGTCTCATTGCTCAGGAGAAACTGCAACTATGGCTCCTCCCTTCTTGCCCCAGGCTTGTGACAGGGGAGAGCATGATTTCTACTGCTAAGGTGCTTTCCACAATTTTTGCTGTGTAGGCTTTTATCCTGCTCCAGATCCGATACTCCAAACTTTGTCATGAGACTAAAATGCCTGTGTGGTCACTAAAGAATGGCTGAATATGGTGTCCTGCTTTCATTCCTGGGTCTTGAAAATATCTACAGCTTTCCTCAGCATCTTTCCTCCACAGCACATCTAAGCCTTTCTCCAAGTTATTTCCAGGGCTTGTGAGAAACAGTGTGATCCCTCAACCTGGGTCCCTTGGATTCCCCATGGAAAGGTGAGTCCCAGAGGGAGGCTTTGTGCTTCTCTTGTATACTAAGCCTCATTCATTTTTATCAGCCAGACACCATCACGGGGGCCATTTGCTGGCATTCTCTTTCCCACAATCTGGGGTGCATATCAAGCTTCTGGTGGATTCCCATTTTCCTTTTTGAACTAAAGCTCACAGAGTAGATGCTTATGCACTATCTTGCTATTTCCAAGTGGCTGAGGCATTCTAAAAGCCTCTAATTTGCTATCTTGAAAATAATAAAATAAAACTCCTTTTAAAAATTACTAGTAAAAGAAGTAAAATTTCAAGAGGCAAAAAATAACAATAATTAATAATAATAATGAAGGAGTTGAATAGAACTTTATTATAAAATGGAATAATATCAGGAGTAATGAGTGATAATTCATACCAATTAGGTGTTAATCATCACATAAAGGTGTTAATTCACCAAAAGAACATAATGTCTTATGTGTGGCTGCACCTAATTACAGAATTACAAAAAGGCATGGGGCAAAAAGATAAAAACTGAAAGGAGAAAAAGACAACTCCATACACACAAATTAGAAAACAGAAGAAATGGATAATTTCTTGGGAACTTACAACCTTCAAAGATTGAACCAGGAAGCAATTGAATATCTGAAAAAAACAATAAAGAGTTCCAAAATTGAATCAGTGATTTAAAACCTACCAAGAGGAAAAAAATCTGTATCATATGGATTCACAGCTGAATTCTACCAGAATTCTACCATAAACAAAAGCTGGTAGCCATCCATCTAAATCTATTCCAAAATTTCAAGGAGGAGGGACTCCCCCGCTAACTCATTCTATGAGGCCAACATCATTCTGGTACCAAGACCTGGCAGAAACACAAAGAAAAAAATATCAGGCTAATATCTGTGATGAACATAGATGAAAAATCCTTAGCAACATGCAAGCAAACTGAATCCTGCAGCACGTCAAAAGGTTAATCCACAACAATCAAGTATGCTACACTTCTGGGATGCAAGGTTAGCTCAACATATGCACATCAATGAATGTGATTCACCACATAAACAGAACAAAAACAAAAACTACATGATCATCTCAATAGATTCAGAAAAGGCTTTTGACAAAATTCAATATTGTTTCATGTTAAAACCCCCCAGCAAACTAGGCATTGAAGGAACACACCTCAAAATAATAAGACGCGTCTATGACAAACCCATAGCCAACATCATATTATATGGACAAAAGCTGGCAGCATCCCCCTTGAGAACTGAAACAAGACAAGTATACCCTCTTTCATCACTCCTATTTAACAAAGTACTGGAAGTCTTAGCCAGAGCAATCGGGCAAGAGAAAGAAATAAAAGTCATCAAAGTACGAAAAGAGGAGGTCAAACTTTTTGTCTTCTCCGTCAATATAATTCTGTACCTAGACAACCCCAGTCTCTGAAAAAAGATTCCCAGTACTGATAAACAACCAACTAAGATTCAGGATGAAATCATTGTACCAAAATCCATAGCATTTATATAAACCAATAATGTCCAAGATGAGAGCTAAATCAGGAACACAATCCCATTTAAATTGTCAGGAAATAATAAATACTTACAAATACAGCTAATGGGGAGATGAAAAATCTTTACAATGAGAATTACAAAACCCTCCTGAAAGATATCAGAGGTAACACAAACAAATGAAAAACCATTTCATATTCATGAATAGAAAGAATCAATATGTTAAAATGGCCATACTAACCCAAACAATTTACAGATTCAATGGTATTCCTAACAAACTACCAATATCATTTTTTCACAGAATTAGAAAAAGCTATTTTGAAATTCACAGGGAAGCAAAAATGTGCTTGCATAGCCAAAGCAATCTTACCTAGAAAGAACATAGCTGGATACATCACACTACCTAACTTCAAACTATACTACAAAGTGTACTACAAGGTTAATGTAATCAAAAGAGCATAACCAAAACAGCTGCAACCAAAATTGGCACAAAAAGAGACACATAGAACAATAGAATATAATAGAAAATTCAGAAATAAAGCCTTACAACTAAAACTATCTGCTTTTTGACAAACCTGACAAAAACAAGCAAAGGGGAAAGGATTCCTTATTCAATAAAAGGTGCTGAGATAACTGGTTAGCCACATGCAGAAGATTGAAACTGAACCACCTCCTTTTACCACATACAAAAATCAACTTAGGATGAATTAAAGATTTAAACTTAAAATCCAAAACTCTAAAATCTCTACAAGCAAACCTAGAAAATGCCTCTCTGGACATAGGCCTTGGCAACTATATAATAATGAAGAAAACAGTAAGCAATTTCAACAAAAACAAAAATTCTTACATGAGAGCTATTTAAACTAAAGACCTCTATACAGAAAGAGAAACTATTAACAGAGTAAATGGACAACCTATAGAATGGGAGAAAATATTCACAAACTATGCATCGAATGTCTAATATCCAGAATCTATAAGGAACTTACACAAATCAACAAGCATAAAACAAATAATCTGATTTAAAAGTGGGCAAGGATATGAACAGACACTTCTCAAAAGAAGACATACACACAGCTGGGCATGGTGGCTCACACCTGTAATCTCAGCCCTTTGGGAGGCCAAGGCGGGCGGATCACAAGGTCAAGAGATCGAGACCATCCTGGCCAACATGGTGAAACCCCGTCTCTACTAAGAATACAAAAATTAGCTGGGTGTGGTGGTGCGCCCCTGTAGTCCCAGCTACTTAGGAGGCTGAGGCAAGAGAATTGCTTGAACCCGGGAGGTGGAGGTTGCTGTGAGCCAAGATTGTGCCACTGCACTCCAGCCTGGTGACAGAGCGAGACTCTGTCAAAAAAAAAAAAAAAAAAAATCAGAAATGCAAATCAAAACTGTAAGGAGATACTATCTCACATCAGTCAGTATATCTATTATTAAAAGGTCAAAATATAGGTTAGTAAGGTTGTGGAGAAAAGGGTATGCTTACACACTGCTGGTGGGAATGTAAATTAGTACAGCTACTGCGGAAAGGACTTTGGAGATTCTCAAAGAACTTAAAAAAGAACTACCGGCCGGGCGGCTCGTTTTGACAGGTGGCTCACACCTATAATCCCAGCACTTTGCTAGGTTGAGGTGGGTGGATCACTTGAGGTCAGCAGTTTGAGACCAGCCTGGCCAACATGGTGAAACCCGACTCTACTAAAATTACAAAAATTAACCAGGCATGGTGGCACACGTCTGTAATTCCAGCTACTCGGGAGGCTGAGGCACAAGAATCTCTTGAAACTGGGAGTTGGAGGTTGCAGTGAACTGAGATCCCACCAATGCACTCCAGCCTGGGTGACAGAGGGAGTCTCTGTCAAAAAGAAAAAAAAAGAAAAAACAAATCTACTGTTTGACCCTGGAATCTGGTTACTGGGTATATATCCAAAGGAAAATAAATTGTTCTATCAAATAGACACATGCACTTGCATGTTCATCCCAGCACCATTGATAATAGAAAAGACATGGAATCAACCCAAATGCCTGTTAAGTAGTGCACTGGATAAAGAAAATGCAGTAAATATACACCATGGAATACTACATAGTTACAAAAATGAATGAAATCATGTTCTTTTCAACAACATGGATGCAGTTAGAAGCCATTGTTCTAAATGAACCAACTAAGGAACAGAAAACCAAACACCCTAAGTAACATCTCATTTATAAGCAGAAACTAAATAGTGATTGCACATGGACACAAAGAGAGGAACAATAGACACTGGGGTTTACTTAGGGGTAGAGGGAGGGAGGAGGATGAAGATAAAAAAAATTACCTATCGGGTACTCTGTTCGCTACCTGAGTAACATGATCATTTGTACACCAAGCCCCAGAGACATGCAATTTACGCATGTAAATACTTGCACCTGCACCATGTATACCATGAACAAAAAAAAAGCCCAGGACCAAATGGATTCACAGCCAAATTCTACCAGACAAACAAAGAACTGTTGATGAAACTACTGAAATTGTTCCAAAACTTTGAGGAGGAGGAAATTCACTCCAACCCATTCTATGAAGCTAGTATCATCCTTACACCAAAGATAGAAAAAAACACAGAAGAAAAAGGAAATGATAGACCAATATTCTTTATTAACATATGTTCAAAAATCATCAAAAAGTACTAGCAAAACAAATCCAATAGCACATCAAAAAGACAATCATGCAAATTTTATTCCAGGTATGCAAGAATGATTCAACATATGCCAACCAGTAAATGTGATTCACCACATAAACAGAATTAAAAATAAAAACAATATGATTATCTCAATGGATGCATAGAAAACATTTGATAAAAGTCAGCCTCCTTTCATAATAAAAACTTTTAAAAACTGGGTTTAGAAGAAACGTACCTCAAAATAATAAAAACAATATACAACAAACCCACAGCCAACATCATACAAAACAGGGAAAAATTTAAAGCATTTCCCCTAAAAACTGGAAAAAATAAGAGAAAGAAGTAAAAGGCACCTAAATGAGAAAAGAGTACATTTGACAAATGAATTCAGTAAAGTTTTGCAGTACAAAATCAACATACAAAAATCAGTTGCATTTCTATACACCAATAAAAATCAAGATGAGCACCTAATCAAGAAGTTAATTCCATTTACAATAGCTACAAATAAAATAGAATAAAATAAAATAGCTAGAAATATATTTAGCCAAAAGGTGAAAGAGCTCTATAAAGGAAATTACAAATATCTCATGAAAGCAATTGTAGATGACACAAACAAATGGAAACATGCTCATGGATTGGAAGAATGAATATTGTTAAAATACCCAGCTTCCCAAAGGAAACTACAGATTCAGTGCAGTTCTAATCAAAATCCCAATATCATTTTTCAGAGATACAAAAACAATCTCAAAATTCATATAGAACCAAAAAGAGTCTGAATAGCCAAGACAATCCTAGGCAAAAAGACAAAAGATGGAGGTATCACATTACCTAACTTCAAATTATACTAAGAGGCTATAGTAACCAAAACAGCATGGTATCAGGGTAAAAATAGACATACAGATCAATGGAACTGAATAAAGAAAACAGAAGTAAAAACACATACCTACACTCTACTGATTTTTGACAGAGTTGACAAAATAAACAATGGAGAAAGGACACCCTGGTAAATAAATACTGATGAGGAAGTTGTGTAGCCATATGCAGATGAATGAAACTGAGTCTATATCTCTTGTTGTATTAATTTGTTCTCATACTTCTATGAAGAAATATTTGAGACTGGGTAATTTATAAAGAAAAGAGAGTTAATTGGCTCATCATTCTGTAAACTGTACAAGAAGCAGGACTGGGGAGGCCTCAGGAAACTTACAGTCACGGAGAGGGTGAAGGGGAAGTGGGCATGTTTTACATGGCCAAGCAGGAGGAAGAGAGAGAGAGAGGGGAACATGAAACACTCTTTTTAAGTAATCAGATCTCATAATAACTTACTCACTATACAGTACCAAGGGGGATAGTGCTAAACGTGGGAACTCTGCCCCCATGATCCAATCACCCCCTACCAGACCCCACCTCTAACACTGGGGATTACAATTTGACATGAGATTTGGGGAGGGACATATATCCAAACCATATCTATCACCATATAAAAAAATTAACAGAAAATGAATTAAAGACTTACATGTAAGACCTGAAACTATACAAGTTCTAAAACAAAACTTACAACAAACTATCTTGGATATTGGCCTAGGCAAAGAATTTATGACAGACCTCAAAAACAAATGCAACCAAAGCAAAATTTGATAAATAATACTTTAAACAAAAAAAGCTTCTCTACAGCAAAAGAATCAACAGAGTGATCAGACAATCTCAATTGAGAGAAAATATTTACAAACTGTGCCTCTGACAAAAAACTAATATCCAGAACTACATGGAAATCAAAAACATCAGAAGGAAAAATAACCCTGTTAAAAGATACAAAAAGGTCATGACAGACATTTTTCAAAAGGAGAAATAAAATGGCCAACCAGCATATTTAAAAAACGTTCAACATCACTAATCATCAGATAAATCAACTAAAACCACAAAGAGATACCATCTTACACCAGAGTGGTTATTAATAAAAAGTCATATAATAACAGATTTTGGTGAGGCTACAGAAAAAAAGGGAATGCTTATACAACCATTGGTAGGAATGTAAATTATTACAACCTCTATGCTTGTACAGTATGAGATTTTTAAAGGAATTAAAAATAAAACTACCATTTAATCCAGTAATCCCACTACTGTGTTTACTGTGTTTCAACCCAAAAAAATAATAATAATTTTAACCAAAAGATACCTGTACTTATATGTTTATTGCAATTTTATTCACATTAGCAAAGATATGGAATCAACCTAAGTGTCCATCAGTGAATGACTGGATAAAGCAGTGTGCTATATATACACTGTGGAATGCTACTCAGCCATATAAAAGGGTGAAACCATGTCTTTTCCAGCAACATGGATACAACTGAAGGCCATTATCTTAACCCAGCAAAATAACTCAGAAACAGAAAGTCACATACATGTATGTTCTCACTTATACGTGGGAGCTAAATAATGTGAATATATGGACACAGAGAGTGGAATAATAAAACATTGGACACTTGGAAAGGTGGAAGGTTGAGAGGAGGGTAAGGGATGGGAAATTACCAAATGAGTACAATGTACACTATTTGAGTGTTAGTAATAGAAGCCCAGACTTCACCATTACACAATATATCCAGGTAACAAAACTACACTCTACCACTTAAATCTATAAAAATTTTACTAAGTAAAATAAACATGATTTTAAAATTAATGTAGAAGCAATAAGGGAATTAGAAAGTCACTATTAAAACATGAGTAATAATTGCTATAGTCAAGATCAACCAGTGGATGCTAAAATTAGTGGATGAAAGTTAAGCAGAAACAATTCACTTGCATAGTCACAATGTCTATCTTCCAAAATTTTTAGTAAATGCAGAAGGAAAAAAAAATAAATCTTTAGGGTGAAGAATCCTGATAGACACCATATTATCCAAGTGATCAAAATGAACATAACCAATAATAAGTCCTAATTATATAATGTAACCCTTGATTTAACGCAATAAGGTCACATGACCTCTGTGCTATTACCAAAAATGCACAAACTCATTCTAATAATATAACATACTATACAAATTTAAATGGAAAAATTATACAAATAGCTGTGCAGTACTTTTCTAAATTGTCAAGGTCATGAAAGACAAGGAATGACTTAGGAACTATCAAATATTGGAAAAGACTAAAAAGACATGACAACTAAATGGAATGTAGGAGGCTGGATTTGATCTTTGAAGAGAAAAGACGCATCAGTGGAATAACTGATGACATGCAGATATGTTCTGCAATTGAATTAGTAATACCGTACAAGTTTAATTTGCTAGTTTTGATAAATGTGCTATAATTATGTGAGATGTTAACATATAAGAGCAAGATGGTTAAAGAGTAAATGGGAAATCACTGAACTCGTTACAAATCGTCTCCTGTACTCTTTTACAAATCCTCTGTAATTCTAATGTTATGTCAAAATAAAAGTAAAAAGAAAATCCAGCAATATACCTCCAACACAGGTAATATTTGCTGAATGAACATGAGGGAAACCAAGTTGAATCAACCAAGTTGCTAAACCTAACACCTCTTTTCCATAAAGATTCACATCTCCTAAAACCCGTAACAATGAAAACAGTCTTATTTTATCTCCATTGGTATTTAGCTGGCATATATACTTTAATAGGTATGTGTGTCTGTGTGTATATGTGTGTATGTGTGTGTGTGTGTGTGTGTATGTATATATACTTTTTAAACTCAAGTATATGTAAAATTTCTTGGAGAAAAAGGGGAGAGGAGCATTTTAAAAAGAAAATACATGTTTTAATCTTTCGACCTCACTTAATTATTTATGTCACATCTCTTCCATAACTCTACCAAGTCTGAAAGCTATCCTGATCCTGTAATGGCTTTTCAGAAAATTTATCTCACAACTCTGTCTCCTAGAATGTCATGCCATTCACAAGTGAGTTCAAATGTCTGCTCAGAACAGCTGACCTCAAAACTCGCTAGGAAGCACAGACTTTTTATGCAAACTTCCAATGTAGTGCTGTAGTGAGTATTTTACCAGTTGTCCACTTATTATCCTCATTTGACACATGAAGACACAAAGGCTCAGAAAGATTAATATGGCCAAGTTTAAATTAATATTGAGTGGTAGATTTATGTGCTTTACATTGTATAAGTTAATCATTTCTTGTTTTGGTTACCTGTGACAATGCGGAACTGATGCTTTTAATATTTGCTTAAATATCATTGATATAAATAGATGTAGCTGTTGTGTCATTATGCAGTAAAATAAATTACAGTCCATGTGCTTATTATTTCAATATGACTTACATTAATTTTTGTATTTTTTAGTGGATATGGGGTTTCACCATATTGGCCAGGCTGGTCTAGAGCGCCTGACCTCGTGATCTGCCCACCTTGGTCTTCCAAAGTGTTGGGATTACAGGCGTGAGCCACTGCGCCCAGCCGGGTCTGCTCTAAGTTTTACTCGATCCACCCAAAACACAGACACACTAATTTCAAAAATACATTTTCTAATTTGCATATTGAACAGAACCCATTCAAAATACAAATATATACAGAAATATAGCTTACACTGACACATATTCCATACTAATGAGATTTTATTCTAGATTTATTGTCTTATATTCCTTGTGTTTCTATACATAGTATTAAATTATTCCAATGCCTAATCTACCACTTCTGGCATCAATACTAAAATAATAAGTTAAACACAGTTTGTTCATCAGACTTATCTTCTACACAGTAGTCCCCATTTATTCATGGTTTTACTTTCCATGATTTCAGTTACTCACAGTCAACTGCTGTCTTAAAATGTTAAATAGAAATTCTAGAAAAAAATCCATAACTTGTGCCATTCTAAGTAACATGGTGAAATCTCATGCCAACATACTTTATCCAGCCTGGGGGTTGTGGTGAATCATATCTTCATCCAACATATCCACCCATTAGCTATGCATATCTTCTGCTGCTCCCGACATTTAGCTACAGACATCATCGTGGCTTGGTGATCCAGGATTACCCAAAGCAAATGATCCTTCTTCTGACATATTGTCAGAAGGTCAATAGTACCTTAACACTACATCACAATGCCTAAGTCATTCACCTCACTTCATCTCATCACGTAGATATTTTATCATATCATATAATCACAAGATGAAGGGTGAGTACAGTACAATGAGATAGTTTAAGAGAGACCACAGTCACATAAATTTTATTAAAGTAAATGTTATAATTGTTCTATAAGTTGTCTCTTACTGTGCCTAATTTGTAAATTATTTATTATTTAATTATTTACTTATTATAAATTATTTATTTATTATTGTTATGTATGTATAAGAAAAAAATACATATATAATTTAGTCCTATCTTCGGTTTTGGGCATCTACTGGGCGTCTTGGAATATCTTCCCTGCAGATAAGGGGGAACTACTATAGCTCTGATATCTTTTGTACATGGACCAAGTACAATCATTCAGTGATGAAACATAGTCAAATAATTTCTGTGAAACAGCATCTGATGTCACTTATGCAAAAGTTATTTTCTAGAGTTAAAGGAATATCTGTATGCATGTGTGTGTGTGTGTATACATATATATTTTAATTAGAGAAGGGGTCTTACTGCATAGCCCAGGCTGGTCTTAAACTCCTGGGCTCAAGGGATTCTTATACTCCAGCCTACCATGTAGCTGAGACTATGGGAGAGCATTACTGGGCCCGGCAACTGTATATGTATTTTTTGAGTGCTGAAAATGCAGAAGTTACTCATTCTACATCATCATCACTAATGATAATATCCAGCACTGGTTATTTTTCAAGCCTAGTAAATACAGGTTCACTTTAACTCTTTTTAAGTAAACTTACTGTTATTGGTTGAATTTTGTCACTGACCACTCATATGTATGTTGAATGCCTAAATCCCAGTACCTCAGTATGTGACTGTAATTGGAGATAGGGCCTTTGCACTAATGATTACATTAAAATGAGGTAATTAGAAGGGTCCTTATCCAATCTAACTGCTATCCCTCTAAAAAGGGGAAATTAAGACACTCAAGAGACACCAGGGGCACTTGTACTTGCATACAGAAAGGTGATTATGTAAGCACACAGCAAGAAGGGGGCCATGTGCAAGCCAAGAGGAAAACCCTCAGAAGAAATCAAACCTACAATATTTTGATCTTAAACTGTGAGAAAATAAATTTATGTTGTTTAAAGCCATACCGTCTGTGGTATATTTATGGCAGCCCTAAAAAACTAAAATACTTGCTTAAGATCAGTTTATTCAAAAAAAACTAGCTAATAGAAAGCAAATTACCAAATAAACAATTTACCAAATAACATGTTCAAAAGAATCACCAAAACATTTTGCCAAAAATTTAGTTTCCAATTGTTATTTTGCTGATAAATTTGACAACAGTTCGTTAAGCCAGGTTTAACAGGTTTAAGCAGTTTTAGACATTGAGGCTTGAAAGTTAGAGCAAATTTGGTGTCACTTTTAAAAACAAATAAAATAAAAAAATAAAAATAAAAAGGATGTCAGTATGTTACACACAGGAGGGCATACTTCATATTTATCACCTGGCAGACTGGAGAAAAGTTGCATCAAACTGTTTTATGCATCTGTGCAGTGCTGAAGTCATCTGCTATCATCAGCACTAATAATGATGGGGATAACAATAATATTCTGCTACATTTACATAACAATTTTTACTTTGGGAAAAGATTTTCACATACATCTCCTCATTTGTTTTTTTTTATAATGACTCTTTGAGAAACTAAGGTAAATGTTTTACAAGTCTCATTTTATGAAAGAGAAAATTAGAGTACAAAGAAGATACTGACCTGACAATATCATATAACTGGAGCTAGACTTCTACTTCAGGTTTTTAAAATGTTTTTGAATCAATAGAATTCATGATTTGCAATGTTTTCCTAATTTCTATAAAAACACACTTAGAACCATAAATTTTCATCAACCATAACAGACAACTGGTAAGCGGGCATGTGTTAAACAATTGAGATATTAGAAAGAAAGATATGTCTCTGATGAGCAGAGCAAAAGGGAATGTAAGTCAAAAGATATCTAAAGACTGTATAGCTTCTGGAATAATAAATTGGTAGTTTTCCTTATTTTTCATTCGTTGTTTCAGAAAGTGTTTAACTTTTGATACTATCACCACTGTAAAATATAATAGTAACAGTAAATAAATCTCCATGTTGTCCAAAAAAAAAAAAAAAGTTAGTAAATACTTTGACTAAAGTCAAAGAGTTAATAAATAAGATTCCCAAAATTCAAAATGAAGCTCTTTCATTCTGGTTTAGGAGTGCGGTACTACCACATTTACCTTTATGGTAAAAACCATAAATGATACAAAGCTTTCTTAAATTTCAGAGTACAAAGGAATATCTTTTCTGGGGTTATTAGATTAGATTTACTGGAAGATGGACTATATTGTATAAAATGAAGAAGAATTCATATTTTATTAGAGCAAAGATATAGGAAGAGCATCACAAAGTTTTACGAATGGCAATCCATTCATCTTGTTTGAAATATATTATATAAAGAGCTTCTGGAATAATCACATAGTAGAACCTGATTATGACAAGCATTGTTTACAAGTCTAAAATTTGCAACAAATTTATTAGAAAATGGAAAGCCAATAAAGCTTGTATTACTTAATATTCTTTTAATTATAAAAAGATACTTAGGTTGAGCATCACCAATACAAAAATTTGAAAGCTAAAATGCTCCAAAATCCAAAGGTTTTTGAGCATCAACATAATGCCATAAGTGGAGAATTCCACACACAAGTACTTAACAAAAACTTTGTCACTGGCACACAATTATTTAAAATAATGTGTAAAATCACCTTCAGGCTATGTGTATAAGGTGTGTAGGAAACATAAATGAATTTCATGTTTAGACTTGGGCCTCATCCCCAAGATATCTCATTATATATATTCAAATATTCCAAAATTTGAAAAAAATCAAAATCTAAGACAGTTCTCGTTCCAATAATTTTGGATATGGGATAGTTAGCCTGTGCTTGGGGCAGAAGAATCTGAGGGGAATTTGGGTACAAAGCCCAATAAGATTTAAAAATTGGTGTATTATGATGTTATTAACCAAAATAAATAAGCTAGAAGAAACTGATATGCTGTGGAAAAGTAAAGTGGGTCTGTGTGTCACAAATATCTTTTATATTAAAGATATAAATTAGCCTTTGTGATAACATTATCCAATTGTGTCACTTGGGACACTGGCTAATTAAATAAAAAATCAAATTACATTTTTAGTTGGGTCAAGAAATCCATTTTTGAAAGGGAAAGTCGAGTTTTTAAAATTATCTTAGAAAATAGATGAATAGGGGTAGGAGAGAGAGAGAAATGACACTCTCAAGGAACAATAGAGATTCCATACTATTTCTCATAAATCATTTTTCTTTTAACTATATTATTTTACTTATATTGCCTATGTGACTATGGGATATTGTAGGAAGATTATAATGTATTATTAATGACAGCACTTGACTTTTTGAGGGGATGAGGGCACCCAATAACAGATTATAAAAAATGAGAAAGTTTCCTTCACAGTGACAGAAGCCTCAGAACGAAAATTCCTAGATTACCAACAAATCACACTAATTTCTAGTTTAAAAACCTAAGAGGAATATGAAATATCTACATATTTGTAAAAAAATAAAGAATACATTCCAATAAGCAAAAATTGGTATGGCGATATTTATAGAATTTATAATGTCACAAAAATATCTTAGAAATTGCTTAACACTTTTATTTCAGTATATAAAAGTTAACATAGTTATTTTAACATAAAGCCAAAAATTGTGTTGTTTTATTTTTCCATGATGTTAATGTTAGTTTAAATTTTTATTATATATTTTCTTGGCAGCATAATGGTCGTTTTACAAGCCCTCTTGCTGTTTCTTCTTCACATCAAACTCATTCTGGCCCATGGCCATTCTATTTGCTTTTAATTCTTCCCATATTATCCTGATCTAGATCTTTACATTATTACTGCTCTGCACATTTCCAGTCTCTGTTAGAATAGGAGTGCTTCAGAGAACTTGTCCATGGTCACTTTATCTAAAATAATAACCACCCATCATTCATTCATGCTCTCATTTTTCTTCTAGGCATTTGTCCTAATTTGGTATTACATTAAATATGGCTTTGCTTCTGTAGCTGCTTAGTGTTAGTTTTCCCCCCCACTGAAAAGACACATTCCATGGGAACAGGAATTTTTCTTCAGAAGTCTGGAGATAGAGTTCATGATCCACTTCTCCTGTGTTGTGCCTAATCTTTCCATTGTCCATTGGCTTTTCTGGCACTGTTTGGCACAAAGAGAGTCACCAGCCACCTATTTTCTAAATGAATGAATTAAAGAATGAGGCAGTTTTTGCCAAACAATGTTTAATGCAAATCTTCTTATTCTTGCATTCCAATATCTGTTATTCTTGCTACGTTTCTTTCTTTATTGTTAAAGTATGCTGTGGGCTGACAGAATGAACTTCCAGTGGCAAATTGAGGTGGTCAAAGTTCAAATAGAACTAGGTGGCCATCCTTGCATGAAGGAAGTCAGTCACACACTCTTGAGTTCTCTGAAAGATGTTGTAAAAGTATCACAAGACCTACCTGCCTACAATCAAGTCAAACTACTTTCTGTTGTGGGTACCAAGATAAACTATGGCCAGAAACCATCTACGCACCAGCAGTTTGAAAGAAATATCTGACAGAAACTTCTGGTTTTGGGCTTGGAAAACAAACAGAGCTCACCTTACCAGCCAATCAGGGCTCAGCTGTATCAACCAATCAGGGATCAGTTGCATTGACCAATCAGAACTTAGCCGCACTCGCCAATCAGAAATGAGCTTCCATCCTTAATCTGCATAAACAAACCTGGTTGGGAACCTGGGCTTGGTGGGGTGATATTGTGCTATAAAATGAGAACCCTCTCTTTGTTCTCTGCAACACTCTTTCATTTAACCCAAGGTGGTGGTGTGTCCTGGGTTTTAAGACTGGACTGTTCACTGGAATAAATTATATTTGCTCTAAAACTCCTTTCAGAGACGTTTTGTTCACACCCTCAATTCTAGTGAGTCCATTTTCAGGCTTCCTCGGTTTGCATAACATTCCAATCATCAGTTTTTACTTTGCCTTTCTTTTTTTTTTTTTTTTTTTTTTGCATTAGTTGTATATTGTCACTGTCTCTCCAGTTCACATTTGCCAGACAATTAAAACATTGTTTACTTCATACCTATACTGTAAAATCAACCTCTTAAGAAATATTGCACACTAATAATTATGCCATGCATGTAATTCCAATTGCTTATAAAATGGACACCCACTTCTTATTCTCACACCTTAATCTTGTTCTAAATTATTTTTCTCACACTATTTCCTACTACTACTTACCACCCCTTATTATTGCTTTATTAGTTGCTGGCCTTGCAATACCTCATTTTTATGTGTTTTAGTTTTCTTTCACTGTACATGAGCCATTTTTCTTTTTAATTTCATCTGTTATTCTTCAGTACTCAATTTATGATGCACCTCCATTTATTGTTTCTCTGATTTACTCCATTTTCCAATATTCTCTCTTGAAATTTAATGTTTTATATCAGTTAATATCTTACAAATGTAGATTATGATAGAACATACTTTTGTTGATTGATTAGTATTTTCCTCACTCTAAACTGTTACCCTTACAACTTAGAAATATAAGTGCATGCATAGAAACTTACTGTAAAACTTGGTCTCTGTGATGAAATAGGTTAATTATATAGGTATTCCTAGAGGGATAAGACCTAATGTTGTTTTTTGAAACACACAAGTCTCCTAGAGTTAGCAACAGTGTTTAATTTTAAATACAATTTTCTGAAATAGTGAAAAATATGGTATAGGAATGTTTATACTATACAAAATTCCTTTATTGTGTAGTAAGTAATAATTCGTCAAACATAGACAGTAAGACTAATGAAGAGAACAACCAAATGGAGAGACAAATAGGTCCGTATACGTTGTAAATATCTTTCTTCTAGGTATTTAAAAGATAAGATGTTAAACGATAGAGTACACTAAGAAAGTGGGAGATTAATGCTTTCTGCTTGAATGCTTATTTGGCTAGAACAGATATTCAAATTAAATCGAGGTAAGGCCATTGCTGTCAAATTTTGGTCTAGATTGTTTAACACTGGGTGTTACTAGGTTTTAAGTAAAGTATTTTAGAATAATTGATTTTTTTATCTATTACAAGATTCTAATGAGCAGAGTAATTTACGACAGTCCAAACAAGTTGACTAAAAAAAGAATTAAATTAGACTAAAAGTAAAGACCGGCGAAATTTATTTGGAGAATGCAGATTCTAAAGCTGATATTGGTTTTGTTTTTGATGTGAGAGTACATAAGTCTTGGTCATAGTTATTAATGTAAAATCAACTTACCTCTTAGGGATATTGAGTGAGTAAAATCAAAATCATAAGTGAGTAGCAAAAGGCACATGGGTTCCAATGCCACCAAGATATAACAGATCAACAATCAGAGTTTTTACCACAATCATATGTAATTATTTATCTTTTTAAAGTTTAGAATTCAGAATTCTGATAGTAAAGAAGTTCTAAAAAGAAATATCAATTTTTTAAAATATGTAATAGCTGCTGTATTATTTTTATATCATTCTTAAAAAAGATAAAATCACAAGAGCTAGTCAACTTCAATGAAATACCAGAATAAAGAAAATGTTATATACTATCAAAAATGCATGAAGAGTGTCGGAAATGATGGTTTCTTTGCATCTATTCAGCTATATAGGCAAAGATCCTTTAACAGATTCTGAAGAGGTTGATTTAACTCTCAAAACTAAATACAGATTGAGCACCTTTAAACTGAAAATCCAAAGTTTGGTATTCTCCAAAATTTGAAACATTTTGAATGTCTACATGACGGCACAGGTAGAAAATTCTACATCTGATACCTTTGTTTTCTGATGATTCAATGTTCAAAAACCATGTTCATGCATAAAGTAATTAAAATATTGTACAAAATTACCTTCAGGCTATGTATATAAGGTGTACATAAAAACATAAATGAATTTCTTCTTTAGACTTGGCCTTATCCCCATATCTCATTTTGTATATGCAAATATTCTAAAATATAACAAAATCCAAAATGCTTCTAGTCCCCAACATTTCAGATAAATGATACTCAACCTGTATAATTTGTATTCACTTTTGAAATGGGCTTTCACTTTAATTTTGAAAATGACTAAGACATTCAGGAAAACATGACTTTTGCAATTTGTCGACTGAACTGTGGAGTGATTATCTTATTGCTCACTCCCCCCACAGCAACCACTCTTCTCCTTGTCCGTGTAGAGCAACTACAAAATCTGGTTAGTATGTGATGTATTCTGAGTGGAGATAACATATTGTAGTGTTTTGACCTTTTCAATATTCTACACTTCAATTGGCTGTCCATTCTATATCCTCCCTACAGGTTAGTGGGACAGAAAGCAAGGGAAAAATGCAATGAGTAGCCAATCAAATCATAGAACATTGAAAAGGTCAAAGCTGTATATTAGAAGACTGTAATCGACAGAATGTATGAGACATTAAAATTCTACCACCTCATTCTTATGGCAAAGACTATAATGAAACAGAAAATGGCACTATATAAATCTGTTCATATGACAATCATTGTTCTGAGAACTGAGAACATAACACATTCCAATTATAATTTTAAAAATTGCATTATTTTGGCATCCCACAGATTTTGTAGTGTAGTTAAATTACACATAGTCAGCAGAACTAGTTATCTAACAGTATATATTCAGTCTAACACAGAATGACATATTAATATTACATTAAATGGCTCTACATTTATAAAAATCTAAAGAGACATCCCTAAAATAAAGAACTAAAGAATACTTTTTCTCTTATACAGGACTCACTAAACTTACTTGAAGAGCTTATGGAAATTGTTTTTTGTTTTAAAAGAGAGAAGTAATATGAGAGAGTTTTTTCCATTTAGACAAAAGCAATCTTAATTGATGATTTTTTTTAAAAGACTCAGAGGTCCCTGAAATAAAGCTATACAGCCTGAAGCAGGAAATACATTTGGCATCTGGTTGCTAGATGATAATTAAGAAAGACAGGTTCAGTCAGAGCACTGACCCAGAAGCCACAATTTAAGTGTCAATGAATAGAGTCAATATTCCCTTGACCACTCACATCTAGAGGAGATCATCTGAAAAAGAAAGAGAGTGGGGGTAAAACAGACTTACAGGATTTCAACAAATGATTTTGTAATGAATCTTGGCATAATTCAGAGGGAATAAATAAAAAGCTTACAATGAATTGTTACAGAACATGACATTTTAATACCCATATTTGCTGTCAAATTTTAAAAAGTGATCATGCTTATGATAAATACACAGCCATTAATATTAATAACAGCTGGTGTATAAATGCCTATGGAAAGGGATCAATGTGTTTATAATTTGTTTTTGGCTGTTATTTTATTTACAATTTTAATAAGTTTGATAGAGTTTTTGGAAGAAAAATAAAAAGCTAAATATGTACATTTTAAATTTCCTACCAATACCTTTTTATTTTAACTCTATAGATGAATGAAGAAGTCGAAAAATTATTTCCTTTTTTTAGGAAAATAGAACAGTTGTTTCCAAGCTTTTAGTGTCTTAACCAGAATGATATCAAGAATTTGTATTAAAAGTCTTTCAGCTCAACTTTAAGTAGGAAATGCACATGTGAATTAAAAAAAAACTTAGGCACCAGCATTTCTCTCCATGAGCAAACAGGTATAAATTTCTATCAGATTTTTCAGACATTGAATATGCCTAATTTTAAACTATGAAATGAGACTTATTTTCTAATAATACCAACTGTATTTTTAAAAAAATTTTTGGCAATCACAAAGTGGGTCTGCAATGAAATTCACTTAGCTTTTGGGGTACTGTTTCCACTGATTTCAGAGTTCTGGGAAACTCAGTCAATTTTTATTTATCTTATGATTGCTAAGCATTGTTTAAGACTGCACCCATTCCCTATTGCATTTACAGCCGTCTAAGCACAAACATAGCAGTGGTAGTTACAAATTGCCCTGACTTTGGAGAAAGGGAATCTTGTCTGAGTGTCATCCTCTGTCCTCCCGAGCAGCAGAAGTTTTTGGAGTAATACTTTGAGTTGACTTTTGTGGCTTTTGCAACATATTAGTATACACTTTCTATAACCCCTCTTCATGAAATCCAAATAATTTGTTTACTTCTTGTCTAAACCCTACGCTCTTTGGATCCAACAACATGCTTACAGTCTCTTTGACTAAATAGGTGACAGTGGGGATGCAGCTCAAGGATGATTTTTGGAAAATTTTCTGTAACATTTAAATTATCTCTAAAATTTTCTCTAAAGCCAAAAAACATTATAAGAATGTTCTGCTCATTAACCCAAATGCTTTTTAAAATATATTTGTTAATGTACAAACCTAGGCACCACATTTTTGTGAAATATTTACTAGGTTGATTGTTTCCTGAGCCAAACTGCGGATATCAATACACAGATATGTTCTTAGATTCCCTTAAAACATAAGGGAATTATGTTTAGATTTTCCTTTTCCTGTGTGTCAGCTCATTACCTCAAATCAAGATCTTGTGACACCATTTATTCTTAACTCCAGGGTTCAGCATAAGAACTTCATATTCTTTGTTTTTCAGGACTTGTTCTTGATAGAAAAAGCCAAACTTTTTATAAAATTACAAATCATTGTTCTTTCATATAAGCCTAGCTTTTACAAATCAAGAGAATTTTGGCATTGACAAATTGTCTCTGATATTTGATAGTTTGATAGCTATCTTTTAAAACTGGAAGCTAAAACACAATTGACCTGGTTTATTCAACAGCAACATCAGATGTATAAAAAAGGGGGAATGTGGAGAAATTATTAATGGGTAAATTAAAATGATGGAAGAGACATTTCAATCAAATTAATGCAAAGTTTGATCTTGCTCAGATCTCAATCAAATAATGCATGTATGAAAAATTTTTAAGACCTTTCAGCAGATGTCAGTATGAACTGAATATTATAATGATCTGATTATGATAAGGCTACCTTAAGAAAAATGGTCTTTATTATTTACAAATATATAATAATATTTTCAGGTTAAAAGATAAAATTTCTGATATTTTCTTTAGAGAATCTAGAAAAAACTAAAATATAAATGTGTATAATGGATGCACAGGCAGATAAAGCAATATAGTGAATGTAGAGACATATAAAACATTATTGTTATTGTGGATGGAGAGGCAGATGAAACAATATTAAAGAGATAAAATAATATTGATAGAAGATTAGTTATTACTGAAACATGATTATGGATACATAGGAATTCATTATTTTATCTATTTGATATTAATGTTTAAACACTTCTAAAATTCTAATTCTGATAATAATGGTTTATCAAACTAAAAATTCTTCTGACAGTAACAATAAACTCTGCACTCTCCATAAAAATACTGCTTGATGGCACTGCAAGTTTATGAAAAGCATAAAGAAAGTGGAGGAGATAGAATCTTTTAAAAAGGGAAACATATCATGTGAATCTATATTTAATTGACTTTTCCATTGAAGGCACATTCCAGTCAATGAAGCACATAGGGACCATAGCTTAAGTAGTAAATGGGAATCTTATGGGCTCAGAATTCAGGCATACCAGTGTGGTTGATAATTGAAAGGAGAATGCCAGAGAGTAGCGAAATTAAGAGGAAAGATCTTATGTCTTGTGAACAAAGGTTCTCTGAAAAGGAATTAGATTTGTATTCCAGTGAATAGTTTGCAAACTGGGGAGACGCAGTCTTGGGTGTAAAATGAATGTACTTTCCAAAGAAAAAAAAGAGAGGGTTTGGATTTTATGTCAGAAGTCCCTGCCCAGTTTCCCAATCAGGTCTGTTATGCAAATACAGGATTTAAGCTTACCTAGGTTCTGATTGTTTGGTGCAGTGGAGTTGCGACTGGTTGATATAGCTGAACCCTGATTGGCCAGGGCAGATAAGTTCTGATTAGTTGGTTTCCAAGCCCAAAACCAGAGGTCTCTTGTTTCTTTCAAACTGGTGGGGCGAGCAGATTTGTGCCCACAGTTTATCTTGGCATCAACAACAGAAATTGATTTGGCTTGATTGTAGAAAACGAAAAATCCTGTGATACTTTTACAACATCTTCAGCCAGGTTGAGGTACAGCAGCTCAATCAATCATAGTTCATTGTAGCCTCAAACTCCTGGGCTCAAGCGATACTCCTGTCTCAGTCTCCCAACTAGATAGAAACTACAGGTGCATGCCATTGTGCCTGGCTAATTACTTTTACTTTTTTGTAGGCAGGGTCTCCTTATGTGGCCCAGGCTCATCTGGAACTTCCAGCCTCAAATAATTCTTGGCCTCCCAAAGTGCTGGTATTACAAGTGTAAACCACCATGCCTGGTCTACAATATCTTTCTTAGTACAAAGAGTATGTGATTGCTCCTTCACCCAGCCATGTCCACTTGGTTCTGTTTTAACACTGAGCACTTCAATTTGCCATGGGAGTTCATTTTGTCTGTAGGCCGGGGAGATAACTTTAACAATCTGAATACATGTTCTCATTTAACGTTTGTCTGCCTACTAATTTTTTTTTTTTTTTTTGAGACGGAGTCACGCCCTCTGTCTCCCAGGCTGGAGTGCAGGAGCACGATCTCGGCTCACTGCAGCCTCTGCCTCACGGGTTCAAGCAATTCTCCTGCCTCAGCCTCCCAAGTACTGACTACTATATTTTACATTTAGTAGTGTGTGACTCCAAGAAGTCCAACAGAAAACAATAGTTTTGAGGCAGAAGGTGATAAATGTTATTGCCTAGTGCATGGCGTAAAGGTTTAGTGTTCAAGTCCTGCCAAGTTAGACACTTTGTGGTCTCTGTTAAAATATCAGATAGACCATATCTTAGGAATAAGGAACATATTTTAAGAATGAGTTCTGCGTGCTGAATTTTAAGTAAATATAAGTGAAAAAAAAAACTATGAAGGAATATAACCTGAATGAGCTCTAGGGCAATACCTTACAATATAACATCGTGAAATTTAAGTCCCAAAAGGAAAGAAGGAGAGGATATGGAAAGATATTGACAATACTATTGGCAGAAAACAAATTATAAATTATATATACTGTCACCTATTGATACAGAACTTTTCAATTTTGGTTAAAATATTAATTCATGAATTTAGTAAAATTAGTAATCCATAATCAGGATAAATACTAAGGAAGCATTTTTCAGATATCTCATAGTCAAACTGTTGAAAATTTGTTTATAATAACTACAAAATATTAATAGTAGCCAGGAAAAAAAAGAGATTATCTAGGAACCAATCATAAAAATGATGTCTGATTTTTCATTTTAAAAAAAGGAAATGAAGGAACAAAAATCATCAGGCTAGAATTTGATATCTCACAAAAATATTCTTTAACAATAAAGCAAAAATAAAAATATTTTCAAGCACTAGCTGATGGAAATAGTGTTCAGCAGATACTGCCATAGACATTCTCCAGGCTGAAGGGTAATGATGCCACAAGGAAATACAGATTTTAAAAAGCGCATACCAAGAGCACTGTCATTGACAAATATGTGGAAAGTATAAAAATGTTTTTGTCTTGAGTTCCCCAAAATTCAATTGACTAGTGAAAGCAAAAATGCTAACAGTGTATTAAGATAGAACTCAGATAAGTGATAATGATACACGAAGAATGGGAGAGGCTGAGTAAAATTACTCTTTTGCCCTTATAATGGTGAGGTAATAATATTAATATGAAATATAACATGATACATTAAAGATCAATATATATTCATATTTCTAAAGCCAGCATAAAAGTATGTAAAAATATACAGTTTACAACCCAAGAAAGTAGATAAAATGAAATGTTAAAACACACAAACAACAGCAACAAGATTAAAAACAAAATAAAAGGTGGCATGGCAAGAAAGGAGGAGCAATGGGAAGGACTATATAAAAAACAAACAGCAATACAAAATATTGAAACCTTTTAAATTAATAGCTACATTAAATACAATGGAATAAACTGTCTGATTATAAGGCAGTGTTTGCCACAGCAAAAAAAAAAGCAAACTGATCATATGGTATTTATAAGAGAGACAGTTTCTTTATAAAGACCTGGGTACAAATTTTTAAAAATACAAATATAAAGCTAGGATATAACCAAAATCAGAGCTGAGGTGATGGAGATAGTGACATGAAAAGCCATTCAAAAAATCCAGTAGCTGATTTTGGAAAAAAACAATAAAATAGACCACGAGCTAGACTAATAAAAGAAGAAAAGAGAGGATTGAAATAGACACAATCAGAAATGACAAGGGGGATATCAACACTGACCCCAAAGAAAAACAAACAACCATCAGAAAATATTATGAACACCTCTATGCACATAAACTAGACAATCTAGAAGAAATTGATACATTCCTAAACACATAAACCATCCCAAGACTGAACTGAAGAAATTGAGTCCCTAAACAGACCAAAAACGAGTTCTGAAATTGAAGTAGTAATAAATAGCCTACCAATCAAAAAAAAAAAAAAAAAAAAGCCCAGGACCAGAGGGATTCATAGCTAAATTCTACTGGATGTATGAAGAAGAGCTGGTACCATTCCTACTAAAATTGCTCCTAACATTTGAGGAGGAGTGACTCCTCTCTAACTCATTGTATGAGACCAGCATCAACCTGATACCAAAACCTGGCAGAGATACTGCCATAAAGGAATCTTTAGGCCAATATCCTTAATGAACATCAATGCAAAAATCCTCAATAAAATACTGGCAAACTGAATCCAGCAGCACATCAAGAAGCTTATCACCATGATCAAGTAGGCTTCATCCTGGGGATGCAAGGTTGGTTCAATACAAACAAATAAATGTGATTCATCACATAAACAAAACTAAAGACAAAACTGACATGATTTCTCAACAGATGCAGAGAAAGGCTTTTGATAAAAATTGAACAGTCATTTATGATAAATACTCTCAGTAAACTGGATATTGAAGGAATATACCTCAAAATAGTAAGAGCCATCTATGACAAAACCACAGCCAACATCATACTGAATGGGCAAAAGCTGGAAACATTTCCTTTGAAGACTGGCACAAGACAAGGATGTTATTTCTTATCACTCCTATTCAACATAGTATTGGAAGTTCCGGCCAGGGCAATAAGGCAAGATAAAAAAATAAAGGGCATGCAAATAGGAAGACAAGAAACTATCCCTCTTTGCAGATGATCTGATTCTATATCTAGAAAAGCCCATAGCATCAGCCCAAAATCTTCGTAAGCTGAAAAACAACTTCAGC
Source organism: Homo sapiens (assembly GCF_000001405.40). NCBI lineage: Eukaryota > Metazoa > Chordata > Mammalia > Primates > Hominidae > Homo > Homo sapiens. Next base: position 85,024,283 of record NC_000005.10, on the reverse strand, counting down.
AAAGTCTCAGGATGCAGGATACAAAATCAATATGCAAAAATCACTAGCATTCCAATATACCAACAATGGTCAAACTGAGAGCCAAATCAGGAAAGAACTCCTATTCACAATTGCCACAAAAAGAATAAAGTATCTAGGAATACAGCTAACTATGGAGGCAAAAGATCTCTACAAGGAGAATTACAAACCACTGCTCAATGAAGTCAGAGATAACACAGACAAATAGAAAAACATCCAATGCTTATGGATAGGAAGAATCAATATCATTAAAATGGCCATACTACCCAAAGCAATTTATAGATTCCACAATATTCCTAATAAACTATCATTCACATTTTTCACAGAACTAGAGAAAGCTATTTTAAAATTAGTATGGAACTAAAACGAGACCAAATAGCCAATGCAATCCTAAGCAAAAAGAACAAAGCTGGAGGCATCATGCTACCCAACTTCAAACAATACTACAGAGCTACAGCAAACAAAACAACATGGTACCTTTTACAAAAAAAAGATACATCGACCAATGGAACAGAATAGAGAACACAGAAATAGGACCACACACCTGCAACTATCTGATCTTTGACAAATCTCACAAAAATAAGCAACGGTGAAAGGATTCCCTATTCAAAAAATGGTGCTTGGATAACTGGTTAATCATATGCAGAAAATTGAAACTGGAACCCTTCCTTACACCATATATAAAAACTAACTAACTTACACCATATACAAAAACTACTCAAACTAACAGTAGAAAAACATACAACCCCATAAACAAGTGGGTAAAGGGCATGAACAGACACTTTTCAAAAAAAGACATACATGCTACTGACAATCATATGAAAAAAGCTTGACATCACTGATCATTAGAGAAATGCAAATCAAAACCACAATGAGATATCATCTCATGCCAGTCAGAATGGTGACTATTTAAAATAATAACAACAGATGCTAATGAGGTTGTGGAGAAAATGGAACACATATATCCTGTTGTTGAGAGTGTAAATCAGTTCAGCCATTGTGGAAGACAGTGTGGTGATTCCTCAAACACATGAAGACAGACATACCATTTGACCAAGAAATCTCATTACTGGGTAAACCCAGAGAAGTATAACTTTTTCTATTATAAAGACACACACAGGCATATACACTGCAGCACTATTCACAATAGCAAAGACATGGAATCAACCCAGTATGGTTTGGCTGTGTCTCTATCCAAATCTCATCTTAAATTATAACTCCCACAATTCTCATATGTCATGGGAAAAACCTGGTGGGAGGTAATTGAAACATGGGGGCAGATCTTTCCTGGGCTTTTCTCTTGACAATGAAAAAGTCTCAGGAGATCTGATGGTTTTAAAACTAGGAGTTTCCCTGCACAAGCTCTATTCTCTTGTCTGCTACCATGTGAGATGTGTCTGTCACCTTCTGCCATGATTGTGAGGCCTTCCCAGCCATGAAGAACTGTAAGTCCATAAAACCTCTTTCTTTTGTAAATTGCCTGGTCTCAGGTATGTCTTTATCAGCAATGTGAAAATGAACTAATACAGTAAATTGGTACCAGTAGAGTGGGGTGTTGCTGTAGATACCCCAAAATTTGGAAGCAACTTTGGAAGTGGGTAACAGGCAGGGATTGGAAGAGCTTGGGGGCTCAGAAGAAGACAGGAAAATGTGGGAAACTTTGGAACTTCCTACAGACTTGTTGAATGGCTTTGACCAAAATGATGATAGCAATATGGACAATGAAATCCAGGCTGAGGTGGTCTCAGATAGAAATGAGGAACTTGTTGGGAACTGGAGCAAACTGGAACTGGAGTTATGTTTCAGTAAAGAGACTGGTGGTATTTTGCCCTGCTGTAGAGATTTGTGAAACTTTGAACTTGAAAGAGATGATTTAGGTTATCTGGTGGAAGAAATTTCTAAGCAGCAAAGCATTCAAGAGGTGACTTGGGTGCTGTTAAAGGTATTCAGTTTTATAAGGGAAGCAGAGCATAAAAGTTCAGAAAATTTGCAGCCTGACAATGTGATAGAAAAGAAAATCCTATTTTCTGAGGAGAAATTCAAGCTGGCTGCAGAAATTTGCATAAGTAATGAGGAGGCAAATGTTATTCCCCAAGACAATGGGGAAAATGTTTCCAGGGCATGTCAGAGGTCTTCACAGCAGCCCCTTCCAACACAAGCCTGGAGATTTGGGAGGAAAAAGTGGTTTCATGGGCCGGGCTCAGGATCCCTGTGCTGTATACAGCCTAGGGACTTGGAACCCTGCGTCCCCGTTGCTCAATGTAGAGCTCAGGCAGTGGCACCAGAGGGTGCAAGCCCCAAGCCTTGGCAGTTTCCTCGTGGTGTTGAGCCTGAGAGTGCACAGAAGTCAAGAATTGGGGTTTGGGCACCTCTGCCTAGATTTCAGAAGATGTATGGAAACTCCTGGATGCCCAGGCAGAAGTTTGCTGCAGGGGCAGGGCCCTCATAGATAACCTCTTGTAGGGCAATGTGGAAGGAAAATGTGCGGTTGGAGCCCCCACACAGAGTCCCTACTGGGGCACCACCTAGTGGAGCTGTGAGAAGAGGGCTAGCATCTGCCAGACCCCAGAATAATAGATCCACTCACAGCTTGCACTGTGCACCTGGAAAGGCTGCAGACACCCAACACCAGCCCGTAAAAACAGCCAGGAGTAGGGGTATACCCTGCAAAGTTACAAGGGTGGAGCTGTCCAAGGCTATGGGAGCCCACCTCTTGCATCAGTGTGACTTGGATGTGAGACATAGTCAAAGGAAATCATTTTGGAGCTTTAAGAATTGACTGCCCCGCTGGATTATGTACTTGCATGGGGCATGTAACCCCTTTGTTTTGGCCAATTTCCCCCATTTGTAACAGCTGTATTTACCCAATGCCTGTGCCCCCATTGTAGACAAGAAGTAACTAACTTGCTTTTGATTTTACAGGCTCATAGGTGGAAGGGACTTGCTTTGTCTCAGATGAGACTCTGGACTGTGGACTTTTGAGTTAAAGCTGAAATTACTTATGACTTTGAGGGACTGTTGGGAAGACATGATTGGTTTTGAAATGTGAGGACATGAGATTTGGGAGGTGCCAGGGATGAAATGATATGTTTTGGCTGTGCCCCCACCCAAATTTCTTCTTGAATTGTAACTCTCACAATTCCTACATGTCATGGGAGGAACCTGGTGGGAGGTAGTTGAATCATGGGGGCAGGTCTTTCCCGTGCTGTTCTTGTGATTGTGAATAAGTCTCAGGAGATCTGATGCTTATAAAAACAAGAGTTTCTCTGCACAAGCTCTCTTCTCTTGTCTGCTGCAATGTAAGATGTGCCTTTCACCTTCTGCCATAATTGTAAGGCCTTTCCAGCCATGTGGAACTGTAAGTCCATTAAACTCCTTTCTTTTGTAAATTGCCCAGTCTCATGTCTTTATCAGCAGCATTTAAACAGACTAATGCACAACCTAAATGCCCACAAACAATAGACTGGATAAAGAAAATGTGGTAAATATACACCATGGAATACTATGCAGCTATTAAAGAAGAAAGAGATCATTATTTTGCAGGGACATAGATGGTGCTGGAGTCCATTATCCTTAGCAAATTGACACAGTAACAGAAAACCAAACATTGCAGGTTCTCAATTCCAAGTGGGAGATAAATGATGAGAACACATAAACACATAGAGGGGAACAACACACACTGGGGCCTTTTGAAAGATGGAAGGTCGGGGGAGAGAGAGGATCAGAAAAAATAAGTACTAGGCTTAATACCTGGGTGATAAAATAATTTGTACAAAAAAAACCCATGACACAAGTTTACCTATATAACACACCTGCACTTGTACCCCTGAACTTAAAATAAATGTTAAAAAAAAGTTTCAAAAGGAAAAAAAAATAAGACTAAGATTAAATCAAGAATAAAGCCTTCACATCAATTATTAAAAATTCATAATTTACTAATGTATTTTAGAGGAAAGATCCAAATCACCAAAAGTTTCCTGGGGTTCGAGGAAAAAAAGTGTTTCATCATTAAACTTGGTATGCTTAACTAAAATTACACTGAGAAAGAAAGTTGTGGAGGCAGAAAAGAGAGAGAGAGAGGAAGAGAGAGAGAGAGAAGGATAAGCTGAGGAAATAAAGAAATAAAGCAAATGTAAGAGTTTTGTTTAAGAAGTAATTGTGGGTTGTCTATTGGCATATACAGCTAACTAGAATCAAATATAAAAGAATCAAATATATATTGAGGGAGTCTAAACTGGTGTCAAAAGAAACATTAGCCTGAATGTAAAGAAACTTGGAGTATTCTATATCTACTGGCCGGATGAGGTTTAAATAATGCTACTCACCTGCCAAAGAAAGTACATTCTCCAATGCATATTTTCAATGTGGCCAAGGAAAAATCTTCAAGAGGGAGGAGCTCGAATCACAGGAAACAATAGATACTCATCCCAGGAAGCAGATGAAACAATAATCTAGAAACGTTCTCTACTCTCAGAGGAGAAGAACCTCATTAGGTTTCAGAATTTGTCTGTATTTTTTTTTCTGCCTCCTATTGCTTGTCTTAGATCTTTCTACTTTCCCAATAAGGCCATGTTTTTGCAGTTATACTATTCCTATTTTACACTTAATATTGAATAAGTGAGATAGATAACTTGTATTGTTAATGAATAGGTCTCTGATTCATGGGAATCCTTGTCCAGATCTGGTATAGAGACTACACCTGTCACTCCACCATGAAGAGGCCGTAGGACATCAACCAGGAATGCTGGATATTGAGCTTGATGCTATGTTTAAATATAAAGGAAGATTGTGGTGATTGCTGGGGCTGTTCAGAAACGAATGACAGAAGAAAAGATTGTACATCCCTACCCCCTTTGAAAGAGAGTTCGGCCGTCTGACTCGATTTGATTAGCATAATGTGAATAGAAGTGATATATAACATGTCCAGGTGGTATCTTTAACAGCCAGTATACAATTCACAATTTTCCCTTTCTCTGCTTTGGTGACTATGAATCATGTATTAAGATTGAACACCTGTCATCTTGGGTCCCTGAGTGGCTCTGATCTGAGCCTTTAGAAATTTTAAGTAAAATACATAAGGCCACAGAATCCGTTACAATACAGAGACGAAAATTCAAAACTTGACTCATGTTATAGTAAAAGCATGTGCTCTTAACCACGTTATTACAAAAGAAAAACAGACAAAACAAAGGAATAGCAATTCACAAAATAATGGATATAAATCATCCAAAATATATTAGAATGTTTACTTCAGTAAAAACAAAATGAATATTTATGAAAGTCTATATTGCCTATTGTATTGACAAAGATATGTGTATACACACATACACACAATGTGCAATACAAGAGATAATGCAGTGCAATAGATACTCTCTTGAACTTTATATTGTGTTATGTTAGTATACTCTTTCTGGAGAGTAATTTGGCAATATTTATTTGATCCTATCATAATATGCATTCCCTCGGATCCAGCAATGACAGGTCAAGGAAGTTATCATAAACACATAATTTCACAAGCACACAAAACTTAATGTGTATGGATATACAAAATGCTTTTTCACATCCAAGCATATTTTATAGGCCAATGAAATTTTTATGGCCATACCAAAATTTATGTAGACACAGAATGTAATGACAGAAAATGCTTGGAAAGAAGATAATTAGAATATGTCCAAATGTCTGCCACAGACTGATCATCTATCACAAAATATTCACTACACAATTTTCTTCTCTAAAAAAAAAAAGAAATTCTCTTTCTCAAAAGATATCAAACTAAAGTATGTTTTAGACATTAACATCGAACTCAATGTTAAATGATATGGTCTGGCTCTGTATGCCCACCCCAATCTCATGTCCAGTTGTAATCCCCAGTGTTGGAGGAGGGGCCTGGTGGGAGGTGATTGGATCATATGAGGTGGACTGCCCCCTTGCTGTTTTCAGGATAGTGAGTTTTCACTAGATTTGGTTGTTTAAAAGTGTGGCACACCTCCCCTTCTCTTTCTCCTCCTCCTGCTTCTGCCACGTAAGAGGTGATTCCTTCCTCTTCACCTTCTGCCATGATTGTAAGTTTCCTGAGGCATCCATAGCCATACTTCTTGTAAGTCTACAGAACCATGAGTCAATTACGCTTTTTTTCTTTATAAATTACCCAGTCTCAGGTATTTCTTCATAGCAATGTGAGAATGGACTAATACAGTAATGAAGTTCTGTAGTTTCCATGTTACTTTCAACCATGGACCTATGCTCCACATCCAATAGAATTCTTCCTTTCCTATTATCTTTGAACACATATGAAGTGGGTGATGGAGGGTATGTCATCTTTGGTTTATTATGCTAGAAGATTTGGGGATTCCATGGCTTTTTCAGGTCTTGGACATTCTTGGATTTTTATTCCTACATGTGATTATCAGTGCACCTCTTAGACACTTCGTGGGATCCTTATTTTTTTAACTCCAATCATCTCCAGGTACCATTCATATATTCATATTTTTGAATCTTCTTTTGCAATTGATATATTTTGTGTTTTGTTGCACAAAGCTTTTCTTTCTCTCTAATTAGAATGACTAACTTGAATCTTTTTTTAATAAAAATTCATTAATTTGGTCTCATTTCTCACATTTGCCATTTCTAAGAGAAACATTTGACTCACTTTCACACCCATATTTGGGCCTTTTTTCTCAAGAATATTGTTCATTCGTTCAGTTTTTAAGAATAAATTCAATGATTTTACTTTCAGTTTGACTTTTACATTGGAATTTAATGACTCAAAGCATTTCTCAAATTTCTCTCTAATTATGTCTGAAATAACTGGATTTTTCAATACTTCAAGGCCGTGAATTTCTGGAATTTGTCTAATTCATTTCATTTCTGCTTGCAAAGTAGATGATTCATTTCTGAATCCATATGTTTATTTTAATAGCTATCATATTTAACCAGCAATATTTTATTTTCTAAATTCTTCCAATAAAATGAAATAGCTGTGAACTAAATTATCTGGAGGGAGACTATATGATATGTTGCTCAAACCAGAACACTTTTGAGAGAAAAGGAAATTCTATAAATGGTAATACTGGTATTAACTAAGACTGTACTAAGCAAATTTGGATGGAAGCTTACCCTAATTATCTACTGTCTAAATCATAGTAGATGAGAGTTTTATAAAATATTTTCAAGTGTATAACCAAGATCACCATCTTTCTATATCCCAAATGTAGCTATTTTTTTACTGTCTAAAAAGACTAATGATTCAATATCATATATCTTAATATTCTGTTACAGCAACACCCAACGTCTATATAATATATTCTATGTGAGAAAAAAATGGGCAAGTTTATGCTTTGGTTTAAAAAAGTAACCCTAAATTTTTTATGATTTAAAGCAATATCAGTTTGTTTCTCTAGTATGTTGCTTATACATTATTGGTTGGCAGCAAAACCCTCACCCTCTTTGAGAATATTATGGACTGAATTGAATGCCCCTAAATTCATATGCTGAAATATTAACCCCCAGTACACCTTAGAATGTGACTGAATTTGGATATAGCAAGTTTAGAGAGGCAAATATTGTTAAATGAACTCATATGGATGGGTCCTAATGCAATGTAACTGATGCCCTAATAAGAACAGGTAGGGATACCAGGGCTGTACCTGCACAGAGGAAGTATTATGTGACAGGCAGTGAAAAGGCAAAAAGAGAGACTTCAGGAGAAACCAAACTTCCCAACACCTTATATTGGCCTGATAGTCTCCATAACTGCCAGAAAAAATAAATTTCTCTTGTGACATTTTGTTATGGAAGTCCCAGCAAACTAATAGAGAGACTTGAGGACACAGCTGCTGGAAGCCCTACCTGAACACGGGTGTTATAGTCTGAATGTTTACGTCCCCTTCAAAATTAACGTTAAAACTTAATCCCAAATACAACAATATTACGAGGTGGGGTCTTTAGGAGTTGATTAGGCCATGTACATTGATGAGATTAGTACCTTACAAAAGGACTTGATATAAGCCCTTATAAAAAGGCTTGAGAGTGTGAATTTGCCCCTTCCATCTCTTCTGCTGTGTAAATGTGCAGTGTACTTGCCCTCTGGAGGACGCAGCAGCAAGCCATCATGATGAAAGCAGAAAACACACCATCTCCACACACTAAATTTAATTTCTGTTCTTTATAAAACATCCTTTCTTATGTATCTTGTTGTAGCAGCAAAGCCAGACTAAGAAAATTGGCTTCCATGTTTACTCGAACAAGGGAGATGAAGCATGATGAGTCACATGCTAGATGGAAAAAAGCCCCTATCAGGAAATTACGTATATCATTGTCTTTACATTTCATTGGCAAAGTAAGTCACATGGCCACACATAACTTCAAAAGATGAGATTAGACAAATGAAATCCTGCCATGTGCCCCCACCACAGGAAAAGAACTGTAAATGCCAATGAATACTTCCAATGAGACTCACAAAATCTATTCAACTTTTTGCTTGAAACTGATAAACCTACATATATGCATCCATTATGCTTTGTGCAGACCACTATGTAGCTCTTTCTTACTATTTATAAACTCATTAGAACATAGACTTTAATTTTCGGGGGACTTTAATCTAATGTCTAGAAGGACACAAGTCATTGTTCCAAGTTTGTATCCAATAAATGCTGCTTAATTTACATTCTGATTGATATATATTTTATGAACCATTATGAGTATATGTCATTTAAGCAAGCTGAAATATGATCATCCTAATTATCTGCCATCCAAAATATCACAGTTCAAATATTTTGTTAAGTGTTTTGCAATGGATTAACAATATGTATTATGAATCACCATCTTCCTATCTTCCAATAGTAGTTTTTATACTGCTTGCTACCTAACTGCTAAGCCAATATTATTTGTCTACAAAACTGTTGAAAACCACTCATGCTGATCAGTAGTGGGATGTGCTTGTGAATAGCCACTGCACTCCAGCCTGGGCAACATAATGAAACTTTGTCTATAATTAAAAAAAAATAATAAAAAGAGGAAGAAGAAGAAATAAGAAGAAAAGAATAAATAAAAAGAGAAAAATGTCAAGTAGGTCTTTATAAACATGTTGAACTCTATTCACTCTTAACATGAATCAGTGAACTTATCTATTTTCATGGCCTCTTTTCTTCTTTTCAGTAACTTGATTCAGATGGGAACTGCAAAGGAGTATTGGTCTATATGCGTTCCCTTCTTTCTTTTGCTTTACCTGAAATACTTTTAGTATGTTAATGGAGTTTGGAGACATGTAAAGAAAATGGTTTGTGGTCCACACATGATCAATTTGAAGAGAAAAAAATGAAAACGGAAGCAATATGAAATAATAACTAAGAAGTTCAGATAAAACTGGAATCAGAAATGACTAAGAAACGTGCCAGCGTCTCCATCCTACACCCAAATAATTTTCAGGGATGTTAGTATAAGGACTCAAGCTAGTTTTAACTGAATGTCAAATAAATAAATAAATAAATAAATAAATAAATAAATAAATAAATAAACTTTAGTATGTATCATCTCTTTTCTACAAAAAAAAATTAATTCTACAATGTAAGATTTTTGAAGGTAGAAACTATATTTATTATCTCTCTCCTACAAAATCTCAAATTTGGCCAGGTGCGATGGCTCACGCCTCTAATCCCAGCACTTCGGGAGGCTGAGGTGGGCGGATCACCTGATGTCAGGAGTTCAAAACCAGCCTGGCCAACATGGCAAAACCCTGTCTCTACTAAAAAATACAAAAATTAGCTGGGCATGGTGGCGGGCACCTGTAATCACAGCTACTCGGGAGGCTGAGGCAGGAGAATTGCTTGAACAGGGGAGGTGGAGGTTGCAGTGAGCCAAGATCTTGCCACTGCACTCCAGCCTGGGCCACAGAGCAGGACTCAGTCTCGGAGAGAAAAAAAAAAAAAAAAATCTCGAATTCTGGAATACAAGTTTCTTGAAGGTAGGAATAAAGTATGCTTATGTATAGATTCATATAATCATAGTGTTACAGTAACTTTAAATATGATACCTTTATGATTTTTCATTTGACCATGTAAGCTGTCCATGTTTTCCCAGCTAATTAATTGAAAGACAGTCTGTTGAATACTGCAGCTGTTATTAAGTTTGAAGCTCATGATTCTTGTAGGAAGATTCTGTTATTTATCTACACAATGTTGATGAGTACATAAACATTGTTTAATAAAAATTTGTTGATTACTTAAATAAATCAATAAATGAAATAACTTATATTTAACATCTAGGAGATGGTACTTTAACCCTATGTGAGATATTTTAGGTGGTTCGATTGGTCATGCACTTGGGGACAGGAAAACTGACTCTAGGGAAACTGCGGCCTTCTTCTTAGCCTCAAGTTCTATTTGGGTAGTAAATTGCATGATTGTCACTTGGTGTCTCCTCTTTACGTAATTTAAATTGGTCAGATGATGCTTGAAATTAAGAATAAAAACAGAAGATGAATATCTTATAATAATTCTGAAATTAGTCTCATAGTCAAATGAGATATTCCTTAATACTCTAGGGTTTTCTCCCTCCATTTTTTCACAACTCTCAGATAAATTTCAGTAATCTCAGTCATCCTTTCGTCTGAGAAATGAGAGACAGAGTGAAACATAAACCTGCTGGATTGTAGAATATTGTTATTTCCTTTTCTCATGTAAAAAATCTATAAGTAGTCCTTGGTATAAATGAGGTAGACCAGATCTCTTTAACCTCTAAATCAATGTTTCAGTTAAGGAAAAAATGTTACTTTATAAACATGTCTTAATTATCTTATTTTTATGGAAAGGGTACTTTCTAGTAAAAAAAAAAATGTAATTTGACATCAAAAGGAATTTTTCAGTGATAACCAATATGCATTATTTTAAAAAACCTTTCAAAACAAACATTAATTTTCTCAAACATTTACGCTAAAAGAGTGGCTAACGCTAAGATGTTATCTCATAATGTTAGGTACATCTTTATTTCCTATTTATGAGGCTGTTGATGATTTGTGAATCATATTGTTTGGGAGCAAGAATGGATAATGTAGAAAGTGTATTAATGTATCAGAATAGGTTTAGGATTTTCCTATGAAAAATTATAAAATTTAAAAATTGAAACTGTATTTCTAGTGTATTATTTATATAATTTTTAAAAATAAAAATTTTATATAATGAGTTGGAATTTTCCAGTGAGATGTTATTCTTAAAAACAAAACTAGTAAACTTGAGAATCTTGACAATTCATAAGGACAAAAACTGGTAAATTTAAGAATCTTCTATTCCATTGGTGACCATAAATCATACTTTCTTATGATGCCAGAAATTCAACCTCAAATATTGAATGACTTCAAATGTGATCTACCTGCTAGGATTGTGTTTTCATATTGTTCAGCAGCATTACATTATCTTTTTTTTTATTGAGTTGCTTTAGGCCACAGAGAGATGAGCCCATCAAAATTTAAAGCAAATTTGATACTCAGATGAGTTTTGAGGGCCTACTTTGATTTTCTGAAAGCTTATCAAAGATATATCATTTTTCTATGCCCTTTTCTATGTACTGAAAAATAATTCTTTCAAGTGTGTTCTGCTCTAAGTGAGGGTAAACCTGATTAGCTTAAATCTGAAGATTTATTAAAGTTTTTCTCTAAGATTCAAGCTCTTTCCCATGATTGCCCACATCAGGGTTCTGCCTAACCCTCAAACTATTTCACTTTTTTGTTGTCATTGATGTTATTGTTGTTATAATAGTATTGCTCTTTGTTATTCGGCCACTGTACTGGTTTAAAAATTCTTTTTCACTTTGGCTTTATAGTTCATAGTTGGGTAATTTTTTTTTTTTTTTTGTAAATTTTGGTATTCTTATTATCCTGTGTAAACTTATATGATACTATCTTTAGACATTATCTACATGATATTTGTATTTTCCAAAGACATTAACTACTCTAGTTATTCTCCTGAATGTGTGAAATCTGATAAATTACTGTATAACTGTTGTGACATAAGATAGAGCAAGACAATTTCACTTTCAGTAGTGTTCTGGTAAGCAGACTCTCCAAAGAGGGTCATTGGGTGAGTGAGCAGCAGCTCTGATTGGTAATATTTTCCATTTTCCATTATGTGAATACTCCCACTCCGGCAATTTAAAGCTTCCAAAGTGAAGTCACAAAATGAGTAGTTGGGATAGAATGTGGATAACAGCTTCTCCCAAGCCAGTTCTAGCTGACTTCAGCAAACCACCATTTTCTTCCCATCCACTTACATCCTTTGCATGCTGCCTGAGATTTCCATTGTTGGAATCAACAATGGAAAGTAATGCTTTCGTATTTTGGTATGAAGTAATGCTTTCTGAAATTTCTAATTAAATCAAATTATTATTTCGATAAAGGTGCATCATCTGTCTACTATGTTAGCTGTTAATATAATATTCCTGTCCCTAAAGTCCTCTGTCCCTAAAAAATACAAATAAATAGATTTTTATTTCTTTCTTACGGAAAAAGAAGAAAGAAAGCATGTACTCACAAAATATACTAGGAGGATAGCTAAATCTTCCCATAAGAAGTTTTATATAATTTACAAAGATTAAAAATGCACAGATATGTGTACAGTTTGAAATGTTTTGACAAATAAATATATGTGTACACGGATGTTATCTACAACCTTATGAAGAGATAGAAAATTTTTATCTTTCCAGAAAGTTCTTCCGGCTCCTTCCCAGTCAAACCTGGTCACCCTCAAGTAGAGGCCACTAACACAGGTGACTAGTTTTCATGTTATTCGAGAAATTCATTCACATAAATGTATTCATAGAATCATAAATACATGCACTTGAATCTGGTTTCTTGTAAAATATTTTTTTGAAGTTTAAACATGTTTTTGGGTACATTTGTTGTTTATTCCTTTTTACTGACATTGCATAATACTTATTTTTCTAAATTTCTTTCTTTTCAAAAGATAATTGATATGTTTCAAGCTTTGCCTATTATGAATATTAAGCTTCATATGAACATCCACATAATCTATTTGTTGATGTATGTTGTATTATCCTGAGTTAATTGAAATGGAATTCCTGGGTCATAGGGTAGGTTTATGTATAACTTTATTAAAAAATTCAAAGCCAGTTATCAAAGATTTTATACTATTTTACACTCCCATTGGTTGTACCGTATAGATGCTAACATCTGGTGATGTTAGTCTTTTTAGAACTATCCATTCTGGCAAGCCTGTAATATTTCATTGTAGTTTTAATTGGCATGACCCCGATGACTATTGACATGGATCATTTTTCAGATGCTTATTTAACATTTGTTCATTTCTATATCATATTTTGTAAAGTACTTCTTAAACTTTTTTAAGTATTTTTGTTGTTTTTATTTGTCTTATTAAGTTGTAGGGGTTCTACATATATTATGTAGATAGGTTTTTCATTACATAAATATATTATATTATTTCTATAATTTACCTATTCACTTCTAAACTGTACTTTTGATGAGATAAATTTTTACTATTTTTGTTGAAATACAATTTAGAATTTTTTTTAAGTTTGCCTTCTGTGGTCTTTTTAAGAAATATTCACAACTATGTTATGAAGATACAGTCATAATGTTGTATTCTATAAACTTTATAACTTTAGTTTAATATTTAGGTATATGATTCATCTCAAATTAATTTTTACAGTATATTTCAAGGTAGCAACAAATTTACTTTTTCCACATGGATATGAAGCTGTTCTACCAGTGTTTACTGAAAAAATGTTCTTGAACCGTTAAATTTCTTCCATGTATCTGTTAAAAATTGAATGACAGTATGAGTCTATTTCTTATATCTTTCAGGGAACCATTTATCTGTGCTTATGCTATTACAAGACTGTCTTGATTCCCATAGCTTTAGAGTAAGTCCCGAAATCAGATAGCATAATTTTCCCAATATCATTCTTTCTCAAGATTGTTTTATAAGGTAAAGACTTCACCTGATCTATTTCTTGTGTCAATCTGGTAATAATGTCTTTCAAGGAAATTTTCCATTTTATCCAAGATGTCAAATCTTTGACATAAATCTCTGATATAATCCTTTGTTAAGCTTGTAACAATCTGAAGTGACGTCCTTTTCTGAAGTGACGTCCTTTTCTCTTTCATTGCCTGTACTGGTAATTTTTCCCTCTTTTTGTCTAATTCATATTAATGGCTTATAAAATTGCTTACATCTTTTTAAATAACATTTTTTCTTTTATATCTTCTATTTGTTCATTTGCTATTTTCTTGATGGCCACACTTACTATTTTATTATTTATATCCTCTAAGTACTTTGTTTTAGCTGTGTGCTAAAACACAGTAATTTTTTTGCTGTTTTGCATTAAAGATTTTGCCAAATTTTATTGGCTTTTTAGGGTGGAACATGCATGATTGATTTCAAACCATTCTTATAATCTAATACAAAAATTTTCTCCAGCCACTACTTTTGTGTAACTTACAAAGTTTGACATGTTGTGTTTAAACTTCATTCAATTCAAAATTTTGTACTTTCCTTTTTAGTTTCTTAACACATGAGTTCTTTAGTGGCAGGTTACTTAAAGTTCAAATATTTGGGGAATGTAAAGATGAATTTTTGCTATTGACATCAAACAATATAATTAGAATTAAAATACATATGTTTGAAAATCAGAATATATTGCAATATATGGAAACTTCTTAAATGGCTCAACAAATGATCTGCCAGTGGATTTTCTATATGTAGTTATAAAGAATAACTATTCTGTTGTTTTATGATGTTTTGATCTATGTCAGTAAGGTTAGGTAGGTTTATTTTGTTCAATGTTTTTAAACTGCAGTGATTTTTCATCTATTTCTTTTAGAAATCACTGGAAGAGTGTTATTGAAATCTCCAAATTAATTTCTGTCTGCTTACTTCTGTATTTTGAATACCTGTCTTTACTTTCATATACATTTAAGATTATTATATCTTTCTGATAAAAAGTGCTTTTATCCTTATGGAATGTATGTTTTTATCTCTGGTAATATTATTTTTCTTAAAGTGTATTTTGTCTAGTATTAGTAAAGGCAAATAAGCTTTTTTTATATTTAGTGTTTACAGGTTGTATCACTTACTTGTTTTTTAATTTTACCAATTACATATTTATGCATTTGTATTTTCTAAATCTCTATCCTGTCTGATTTTAATATAGTCAAATCTTCATACGTGCTTTAACTTATATTTATTTTTTTAACATTTATGCATATTTAAAATATGAAATAGATATTTATACATTAAAATACAAAATAAATTGCATAAATTCGATTTTGTCAAATTTTATGTATATTTCTTCAAACATTTTTTCCTATACAATTTTTCTCTTGTAAGTCTGAGTTTTAAATACACATGTTAGACTACTTAATATTGTCCCACTGGTCATTGACAATCTATTCTCTTTTTTCATCCTTCTTCACAGTGCATAATTTTAATTGCTCTATTTTCAAGTTCACTGATTTTTTATTCTGTGGTATCAAATTTGTTGTTTATCTTATCTAGTGAAATTTTATATATTTTATTTTTTAGTTCTAGAATTTTTATTTGGTTCCTTAAAGTTTCTATTATTTTCCTGAAAATGCCCTTTTATTCAATCATTTTGTGGGTCTTTTTTGTTGAAATTTTTGGTGTTTTTATGAAGGCTGTGGAAAATTCCTTGAATGCTAATTGCACCATCCAATCTATCTCTTTGTCTCATCCTATTGACAAGTTTTTGTCTCACTATGTGTCTCAATTTTCTCATTCTTACATGTCTAGTGATTTATAATTGAAATATTCAATATTTCAAATGCTACTTTGTTTAGAGTCTAGCTTGTAGAATTTTAAAGATGCTAGAATTTTCTTATTGTGGGCAGTAAAATTACAGTTCAATCAGATTGCTCAGTCTAGGTTTATTTGAGGCCTGGTTGGGGCAGGTCCAGAGTAGCCCTTTCCCTAGGGTTAGAGTACTCACATTTCTAAGACACAGCCTAGAATATTTTCTTCCAGGTTTTCCAGAGTCTCATCCTGCACATAGATAGCTTATAATTTGGCTAGGGACACAAGGGGACCACATGCAATTTTTTTTCCATAAGTTATGGGGTTACAGGTGGAATCTGGTTAATTAGTAAGTCCTTTAGCGCTGTTTTGTGAGATTTTGGTGTACCTATCACCAGAGCCCTATATACTGTACCATATTTGTAGTCTTTTATCCCTCGTCCCACTTCTACTTTGCCCCCCAAATGTCCAAAGTCCATTGCATCATTCTTATGCCTTTGTGTCCTCATAGCTTAGCTCTCACATATCAGTAAGAATATACTATGTTTGGTTTTCCATTCCTGAGTTACTTCACTACAGGTCACTACAAATGCTGTTAATTCATTCCTTTTTATGGCTGCATAGTATTCCATTATATATATACACACATATATATATATCACATTATATCTATCATATATATTACATTATATATATCATATATTCCATTATATATATCACATTATATATATTCCATTATATATCACATTATATATATATTCCATTTTGTATCTATGTCTATCTAGATAGATATCTATGTCTAGATAGATAGATAGATAGATAGACAGATAGATATCACAGTTTGTTTATCCACTCATTGATTGATGAGCAATTTGGGTTGGTTCCACAATTTTGCAGTTATGAATTGTGCTGCTATAAACATGTGCATGCAAGTATCTTTTTTAAATAATGACTTATTTTCATCTGGGTAGATACCCAGTAGTGGGATTGCTGATCAAATGGTAGTTCTACTTTTAATTCTTTAAGGAACCTCCACACTGTTTTCCAGAGTGGCTGTACTAGTTTACATTCCCACCAGCGTGTAGAAGTGTTCCCTCTTCAATGCAACCACGCCAATATCTACTGTCTTTTGATTTTTTTATTATGGGCATTCTTCCAGGAGTAAGGTAGTATTGCACTGTGGTTTTGATTTGCATTTTCCTGATCATTAGAGATGTCGAGCATTTCTTCATGTTTGTTGGCCATTTGTGTATCTTCTTTTGAGAATTGTCTATTCATGTCCTTAGCCCAATTTTTGATGGAATTGTTTGTTTGCTTTTTTCTTACTGATTTGTTTAAGTTGTAGATTCTGCATATTCATCCTTTGTCAGATGTATAGATTGTGAAGATTTTCTCCCACTCTGTGGGTTGTGTGTTTACTCTGCCGACTGTTCCTTTTGCCATTCAAAAGCATAGTACTGGAAGTTCTAGCCAGAGCAATCAGACAAGAGAAAGAAACAAAGGGCATCCAAATTGGTAAAAAGGAAGTCAAACTGTCACTGTTTGCTGACGATATGATCATATACCTTGGAAACCCTAAGGACTCCTCCAGAAAGCTCCTAGAACTGATCAAATTTCCAGATGCAAGGTTAATGTACACAAATCAGTAGGTCTTACATACACCAACAGCGACCAAGCAGAGAATCACATCAAGAACTCAACCCCTTTTACAATAGCTGCAAAAAATTAAAATATTTAGGAATATACCTAACCAAGGATTGGAAAGTCCTCTACAAGAAAAACTACAAAACACTGTTGAAAGAAATCACAGACAACACAAACCAATGGAAACACATTCCATGCTCATGGATGGGTAGACTCAAAATTGTGAAAATGACCATACTGCCAAAAGCAATCTACAAATTCAAAGCAATCCCCATCAAAATACCACCATCACTCTTCACAGAATTAAAAAAAAAAATTCTAAAATCTATATGGAACCAAAAAAGAGCCAGCATAGCCAAAGCAAGACTAAGCAAAAAGCACATGCAAATTTTTTGAGATTCTTCTGTACATAGTGATCTGCTCTCTGGTATTCTAACCCTCAAATTTGTCTCATCAGTCCTGAACTGTGATCTGTGATCTCCGTGTTTTTTTTTTTTTTTTTCCCAGTGAGACTTTTTTTTAATGGAACACATATGTCAGTTTCTTTAAGAAATATTTCTCCAACAGTTACCTGTGGAATCCTTGGGTTACTGAAAAGATTCTTGTTAGTTTGAAATTTTTTCTTAGCATTCGAACTTTACATAAGTTTGAAAATCACTTCAATAAACTGTAATATAAATTGAATAAAACTTAAAATATGTTGAGGTATTGTCAATGGGTAGGTTCCAGTTCTTAATTTTGCCGCACAAAAGAGTTTGAGAGCAAGCTCAAAGTAAAAGTAGGTAAAGAAGTTTATTGCAAAGTGACAGTAAATTCTGAGAGGCAGAGTGGATTGTTCAAAGCTAGAGGCAGCCGCTAGTGCACTAAGGGAATTCCCTTTATGGGAGCTATATACACATATTCATAAAATACTGGTGAGGTAAAGTATGCAAAGGGGACCCGTAGTTGGCACTCATGCTCAGTATCTACATGCTCTAGCATGCATCACATGTATCATTAGCATATAAAATTTCTACCTAGTGTTGCTTTTTTTTTACTACTAAGATGAGGAAAAGGTCACTATAAGCTAAACCTTGAGCCTGGCTGCACACGGAGGACCCTGGAGAAGTCCTTAGTTTCACCCAGCATCCCAGGCCCCCACCAAGGCAGGCATTTGTAGCTAATAGCTTCTTGGGCTTTTGGTGCTGATTGGCTGGAGATTGGGGAAGATACATCATGAGTAAGGGGTTTTTGTTCTCTTTCCTGGGCCTTATTATGTAACAGGAACTTGGAACCATCTGGCAGTCTGTTGGTATTCTGCAGGACAGCTCATCTTGCAAAAGAATCAGTGCTAACAGGAGAGTGCAAATAAAGGGACACTGTGGCAAAAGGAGTCCATGGTGCTTAACACAAGGGGACAAGTCACTATGGCCTTCTACCCTTATTTATCCTGCCTCAGGATGTACACCTGAAGTTCCATGGCTATGAAATAGATCTACAATTTAAGAATTGTTTATTTTTTTCACATCATGTCTTATCAGCACAGGGAAAAGAAGAAAAAAATGTGATTTTCTAAATTTTTATGTTAAGAAGTCAAAGTTTTCAAAATATCAAGGAAATGGGAGAATATAAAATGTTTACAAAATAGCTGGCACTTCCCCAGAGCTTCATAAAACTTAATATGTTCACGGGTCATTTTTCTTTTACAGAAAGGTAATAGGCAGTTCCCAAGAACTTCAACAAAGATTATGTCTATCCCAAAATTTGATCAAAAGATTTAGCTCATACCCTTCATTTTGAAAATGTATTAAATATCTATTTGAAAATGTATTAAAATTGTAACACTTGAGATGCTTCATTTGAATGTATTCATAGATCTCAATCATATACAGAGATAACTCCTGCCTAACTGCCTCCAAACCCATATCAACCATACATTTACTCTCTAAACTGGCAAATTTTAGAGAGGGAAAGTGTAAACTAGGAATGTCACAGATAAACAAGGAGGTATGTTCACCCCAACCACAGTCTTAAATAGCACCATTATCTACTTAATTATTTATGCCAGAAACTATAAAGTCATGTTATTTCTATTTTTCCCTATCCTCAAATCCAACCTATCAAAAATTATTTTTGTCATATGTAGAAAACATATCTAATGTCTTTTAATATATTTGAATTTCTGCTACTACCATCTTAGCAGAGAATATGAAAATTTATTATGTTGACTGTTCTAACAGGTCATTGCACATACTCCTTGGTCCCTCAAATACATACTCCACAGAACAACAACAGTGTCATTAAAATGTACATTAGATTATGTTAATATCTCTATTAAAATCCCTTAATGTTTTTCCATTAAAATTTTTAAGAAGTCAGTTCTTATCATGGCTCACCAAACTATGCCATAAGTTAGCCCTAATCTAATTTTCACCTTAATTTATTATGATTGTCCTTCTCAAGTATTGTGAGTTAGGCCCATAATCATTATATTATTTAGCCACATCAAATCCTTTCCAGACACAGGTTCAATGTGCATGTTTTATCTTCTGCCTGGAATGTTCTGCTTCTACTCTAATGGACTACTCATTCATTAGGTGTCAGCTTAAATGTTACCTCTTCCGAGAGATTTACATATTAATTACAAATTATTTATATGATTCTATAATTTTTCTACCTCTGTCGCTTATTTTTATTTCTTTATCCTAAGTATCATAATTGCAAATATTATTTTTACTTTTTAACTTTTCTCCCTGACTAGAATACAGAGTCAATGACAATAGCATGCCATTCTATTTTGTTTACATGTTATTCTGATATCACTCAAATTCAAGTAAATAGTGAGACCTTGTATCTTTGTTGACAGCTGAGCAAAATAAGATGTTATAAAAACCATTGACTTATTTGCATTCACCTCTCAAGAAATAAATGAAACAGTTTGGGAATGTGTAGCCAATGCAGAACCTGGCACCCTAATATGCACCTAGAAATGAATATACCTAGGCTTTATTTTATTAATTGTGTCCGAACTAGATGTTAATCTTCTTAGGCTCTGAAAGTCTTTTTCTTGAGTTAATAATGACTCTAGATATTTATATCTCTAAGTATTTGTAAATGATGAATTAAGATTTTTTTAAAAAAGAACCCATTCTCTAATATTAAAAAAACTCTAAAATGTTTCTTCTATATGATTAGAAATTATTGAAATAGAAAACTGCCTCTTGAATATAAATTTAAGAAGTTACCCTTTAATTTTCATAAAATTTGGTAATTATTAGACATTTGGATCAGAGACTAATAATGCAAATGCTGATGGTACTGGCATGAAACCAAACACATAGACTAATGACACAGAAGAGAGAGCCCAGAAATAAATCCTCATATTTTTAAACAATTGATTTTTGACAAAGATGGTGCCAAGAATGCACAATGGGGAAATAATAGTCTCTTCAACACATGGGTGTCAGAAAAACTGTTTATCCACATGCAGAATAATGAATTTGGACCCTCATTTCATGTCATATACAAAAATCAACTCAATATGGATTTAGTTTTTGAATGTAAGACCAAAAACTAAAACTGCTTTGAGAAAATATAGGAAAAATGTTCCAACACATTGTTCTAAACAATAGTTTTTTGGATTATGACCCTCAAAAACACAAGTTGCAAAAATAAAGATAGTCAAATAGGATTACTCTGAACTAAAAATCTGCATACAAAGGAAAAACAGTCAATAAAATCGAAAGACAACTTACAGAATGGGAGAAAACAATTGCAAAACCGCCCTCTGACAAGAGGTTAATATCAAAAACTTCTGAGGAACTCAAACAACTCAATTGTAAGAAAACATAGCTTGATTGAAAAAAATTGGCAAAAAACTTGATTAGAAATTTTTCAAAAGAAGACATACACATGGCCAATAAGCATATGGAAAAAAAGTTGAATATCACTAGGCATCAGGAAAACATTTAAAACCATTATGAGATGTTATCTCACACTGATCATAATGGTTATTATCAAAAAAATAAAAAGTATTGGTGAGAATGTGGAGAAAAAGGACCGCTTGTTCACTGTTGGTAATGTTAATTACTTTAAGCATTGTGAAAAACAGTATGGAATTCCTCAAAAATTTAGAAATAGAACTACAATATGATCCAGCAATCTCACTAAGGGTTATATATCCAAAGAAAATGAAATGAGTATGCCAAAGGAACACCTGCACTACAGTTTTCATTGCTGTATTATTCACAATAGCCAAGAGATAGAATCAAACTAGGGTTCATCAATGGATCAATGGATAAAATGTGGTATTTATACACAGTGGAATATTGAGCAATCAAAAAATGAAATCCTAACATCTGCATAAGCATGGATGAATCAAAAGGTCATTATGTTAAGTGAAGTGGGCCAGGAAAAAAGGGCAAATATAGGATGTTCTCACTCATATATGGGAGCTTAAATAAAATAAATTCATGGAGATAGACTGTAGAATGAAGGTTATTAGAGGCTGAGAACTATAGTGGATGGAGGAGGATAAAAAGGGGTTGGATGGCCGAGTGCGGTGGCTCAACCCTGTAATACCAGCACTTTGGGAGGCCGAGGCGAGTGAATCACCTAAGGTCAGGAGGTGGAGATCAGCCTGGCCAACATGGTGAAACCGCATCTCTACTAAAAATACAAAAAAATTAGCTGGGTGTGGTGGCGTGCACCTGTAACCGCAGCTACTCGAGAGGCTGAGGCAGAAGAATCGCTTGCACCTGGGAGGAGGAGGTTGCAGTGAGCTGAGATCCTGCCACTGCACTCCAGCCTGGGTGACAGAAGGAGACTCTGTCT
The DNA here is from genome assembly GCF_000001405.40 of Homo sapiens. Lineage (NCBI taxonomy): Eukaryota > Metazoa > Chordata > Mammalia > Primates > Hominidae > Homo > Homo sapiens. The sequence continues at coordinate 85,002,030 of NC_000005.10, read as the reverse complement.
CAAAAAAAAAAAAAAAAAAAAAAGAAGGCTTGGGTTGGCTAATGAGTAGCCAGAAATAGTATCGTCTTATCAGTTTAAATGCATCCGGGTTAAATATTTTACAAGATGGTTGTTTTTAGAAATATTTATAGCATAAATGTGTTTAATTGTAAAATGCTGTATTCTGGCTTTTAAGGTAATTGTGAGAGTGATTTTACATAAACCCTATTTAAAATTCAAATGTTTAAAATAAAAATGTGTCTATAAATGCAAAGCTTATGGCAACTGAAGGCTATATATAAAGAAATTTTGTTAAAGATAAAATCTATTTTTGTCAAGCAACATAGACGAATTTCTGGTTCATTTATATCAATTTTGAAATGCATTTTGTGGGAGGTCTTATTCTAAGTGTATTGTCAATCAAATAAGCATGTCAATATTGATAACTCAGTTTCCTATTTCACTTAATTGGTGATGAACTATAGTTATACTAAAAAGTTCAAATGAAATAATTCATCATGCAATTTATTATAAGAACATAGAAAATTTCTGTGGCCAATTTTCCTGAATGTTTTTTTTTAAATTAAGTAATAAAATACCTGGAAGTCAAAATATTTCTGACAGCAAGGACTGCCTTTATGTTTTAATAAGTGTTATTCCTTTAGAGGTGGAAAGTTTGCTTAAGTATTCAGGAGTGAATACAATTTACCTTGTTGCCCTCCTTGAGATAAACTAGACAATTTTATTAATTTTGAAATGGCTCAGGCCTATTTTTGTTTGTTTGTTTGTGTTAAGAAGCAGGATCTTGCCCTGTCGCCCAGGCTGGAGTGTAGTGACACAATCATAGCTTGCTGCAACCTCGAACTCCTGGGCTCAAGTAATCCTCCTGCCTTGCCCTCCCAAAGAGCTGAGATGATAGGCATAAGTCAGCACACCCAGCCTATCATTGTTTCATTGGCTTTGTTTATTACCAAATCACAAACAAAAACTGAAAGAAGGATAGAATGAAAGAAAAATTTGTATAAATGCTTATTTTATTATTCATTCATATATTTTTTTCAAATTGCAAGTTAAGAAAGAAAGAGCTCTTTCATGGACATTGGGCAGGCTTTCTTCCCAAGGCTCTAGTTCTAGAGTTTTCTCATGCCTTTCATCTAAGTGGTTGAGCATGACAGCTAAATTATGAGTCACTATTGTCAGAGACAGCTTCCCATTTACAGAAAGGCAAAATTCCTGCTGAAAGGATGAACTTTGGCATACAGAAATCTACCCATTTCAGTTTTCTGAGATCCAGTACATCTGATTCATCCTAGTGTCTTTAGGCTTGTTGTGAAAACACAAAACATTCAATAGCAGATGGCTTAACATTATAAAAAATGCTCATTGGAGTTTTTAATAGAAAGGGTAAACACTAGAAATATAATTTTTAAAATTAGATGCATGCTTTTCACCCCATTGATTAGTGTCTATGAGTTAAAAGCTTGCAAATGAGAAAAAAATCTTCTCTGGTAGAAAGGGAGATTACACTTTTCATGTCTGTCTGAATACCTAAAAAGTTATTTTGGGTTTTATGTGAATGAGTCTGAGATACAAAAACAACGTAGGTTTAGAACTTGTAGTATGGAGTACCTGGAAGGAAGACAATCAAACATGTTTATTAATAGCAAGCATTAGATTCCCAGTTAGGTAGGGGTATTACACTTACAGGGATTTTTAAAAAAGTGTTTCTGCAAAGCACAGTCAACCCTACCATGTTCTTCAACATCGCCGTAGACGGCGAGAACTTGGGCCGTGTCTCCGTCAAGCTATTTGCAGATTTGCAGACAAGTTTCCAAAGACAACAGAAAACTTTGGTGCTCTGAGCACTGGAGAGAAAGAATTTGGTTCTAAGGGTTCCTTCTTTCACAGAATTATTCCAGGGTTTATGTATCAGAGTGGTGACTTCACACGCCATAAAGGCACTGGTGGCAAGTCCATCTACCAGGAGAAATTTGATGACGAGAACTTCATCCTAAAGCATACAGGTCCTGGCATCTTGTCCATGGCAAATGCTGGACCTGGCACAAACGTTTCCCAGTTTTTCATCTGCACTGCCAAGACTGAGTGGTTGGATGGCAAGCATTTGGTCTTTGGCAAGGAGAAAGAAGGCATGAATATTGTGAAGGCCATAGGCTATGGAACACTTCAGGAATGGCAAGACTAGAAAGATCACCATTGTTGACTGTGGAAAACTCTAGTAAGTTTGACTTGTGTTTTATCTTAACCACCAGACCATTCCTTCTGTAGCTCAGGAGAGCACCCCTCCACCCCATTTGCTCGCAGTATCTTAGAATCTTTGTGCTCTCGCTGCAGTTCCCTTTGGACTTCATGTTTTCTTTGTTCCCTTCCATGCCTAGCTGGATTGCAGAGTTTATGATTATGAAATTAAAACTAAATAACAAAAAAGAATTTCTGGTAGTTGTTGGTGAAGTGATTTGGAAACACTACTCCAAGAGAAGAATTGGTAATTCTATAAAAATTACAAGTTTTTAAAATATGTACTTGATGAAACTAAAACACTAACAAGATAACAAATAAATTTGTAGCCAGTTTTTAGAAGAGGACAATCCAGAAAATTGGCCTAAATATTGGGTTTGATTTTCCCTAGGGTTATCTGATTCAAATAAAAATCTTAGATATTCAGACTGTATAAAAATTAGTACACAGATAGTTTGAAACTAGAAGGAATATAACCACCAAAAAACTGATGTAGCTATAATACTATCAGACAAAATATACTCTAAGGCAAGAAACTTTATTAGAGATGAAGAGGGACATTTAATATTGATAAGCAGGTGAAAGCATCAGGAATATAGGCTACCTATGAATACAGCCAATAACATCTTCATAACACAGAATGCAAAAATTCAAAATGAGCAAAGAAGACATAGTGACATCATAATGACACTGGCAAACTATAACATACCACTATCAGCTGTTAGGGAAAAAAACAGGAAAGATAATGAAGATAAGAACAAAGTTGGCCGGGCGCGGTGGCTCACGCCTGTAATCCCAGCACTTTGGGAGGCCGAGGCGGGTGGATCATGAGGTCAGGAGATCGAGACCATCCTGGCTAACAAGGTGAAACCCCGTCTCTACTAAAAATACAAAAAATTAGCCGGGTGCGGTGGCGGGCGCCTGTAGTCCCAGCTACTCGGGAGGCTGAGGCAGGAGAATGGCGTGAACCCGGGAAGCAGAGCTTGCAGTGAGCCGAGATTGCGCCACTGCAGTCCGCAGTCCGGCCTGGGCGACAGAGCGAGACTCCGTCTCAAAAAAAAAAAAAAAAAAGAACAAAGTTGACTAATCAGTATCTACAGAATATTTACCCCCAAAATTAAAAGAATTCACATTTCTTTCAAATATATTTGGAATATTTATAAAAATAAAATAAAGGAATTACAAGCTGGACAATAAAGCTTCAGAAGTACTTAATTTTTTTCTTCATCACAGCATAGTTTTGATACTGTTATTTAACCCTAAAAAGGAAAATAAGTAGAAAATTCAAATAAATGTAATTAAACTATATAAGATTAATAATGATCAAAATAAATTTTAAAGAGTGTGAACTGTGATAATGAGGTATGACATACAAAATGTATAGGACTAAACTCAATCAATGGTTAGAATAAACGTATACTCTTAAAACACATTTATTAGAAAAGAAAAGTCTTAAAACAAGTCAACTAAACTTTCATTTCAAGAATCCAATAAAGTAACAACAAGTCGACATCAAAGAAAGTAGAAATAAACAAATAATATAGACCGAAAATTAACGAATATAGCAAAAACATTAAAAAGACAAAATCAATAAAAACAAGTTAGTTTTTGAAAAGGCTAATAGAACTAATAAACTTTTACTAGAAATTATGAATAAAAAATACATAAATAACAACTTATCAATATCAGAAATGAAAAAGAGGACACTTGCACCATTCCCTCAGATATCAAAAGGAGTAAAAGAGGATACAAATTATTCCTAAATATTAAAATATGTATTAAATGGACATTATTTTCAAAAATACAACTTCCCAAATACTAACAAAATATATGAATCATCCAATATTTATCCTAAAAATTATACCTTTGGTTTAAAACTTTCCGACAAAGAAACCCCAAGCTCATATGGCTTCACTGGTGAATTTTTCCAACTAGCTAAGAAAGAAAAAAACATGAATATTGCATGAATAGTTCCAGGAATAGAAAAGAGAGAAAACTTTCTAGCTTTTTTTTTTTTTTTTTTTTTTTTTTGAGACAGAGTCTCGCTCTGTCACCCAGGCTGCAGTGCAGTGGCGCGATCTCGGCTCACTGCAAGCTCCGCCTCCTGGGTTGATGGCATTCTCCTGCCTCAGCCTCCCTAGTAGCTGGGACTACAGGCACCTGCCACCACGCCTGGCTAATTTTTTATTTTTTAATTTTTAGTAGAGACGGGTTTTCACCGTGTTAGCCAGGATGGTCTCCATCTCCTGACCTGGTGATCCGCCCGCCTCGGCCTCCCAAAGTGCTGGGATTACAGGCGTGAGCCACGGTGCCCGGCCTCTAGCTTTTTTCACAAATCCAGCATAACCTCAATTTCAATATCTGAAAAGCACAGTCTAAGAATGAAATATCTCAGCAAGCAGTTTCCGTAACTATTAAGGTAGATGTTATAATCTATTGTGTTGACTATTCTCAGTATTCATGCTCTTGTGGAGTCCCATTTTCTTGAATCCGACCTGGACCTAGGTAATAATTTTGGCAATAAAGTGCAGTGAAAATGATGCAGTGCTTGTCCTAATACAGTGCGTTAAGCTTAAAAAGGGTCTGGCCACTCCTGCTTTTGCACTATTGGGAGCTTTGGGCAACATGTTAGAAGTTCATTCATCATTCCGGAGAGACCACATAAAGAAACTACAATTACATGAAGATAACAGACATGCTGCCCCATTCTTCCAGCTAAGTCTTGCTCCAACCAAACCATTAGAGGTAGCTACATGAGGCAAAAACACTAGCAGAAAATCTGCCTAGATAGTCCAGTCCAGACTGCAGAACCAAGAGAATATAAAATGATTGTTCTTATAAAACTCTTGAGCTTTGCAGTGACTTGTCATGCAACAATGGGTAAGTAAAACAATAGGATATATTACATCTGAACATCTTTATTCTTAAATAAACACCAAAATTGTATATAGAAGTCACTAACAGTCATGTGCTGGAATGTTTCTAGCACTATTATTTATATCAGACAAAAACTAGAAAATACCCAAATATCCATCACCAATAAGAGAGATAGTACATTTTGGTATATTTGGAACACTATACCACAATGCAAACAGCTACATCCAACTACTTGTGTGAATTTCACAATTATAGTGCTCTGCAATTAAAACTAAACACCAAAGATTACCACATTATTCCATATGTGTATAGTAAATATACAGACAAATCCAAACTACACTATTAGAAAAAGTCAGAATAGTGGTGAGGTGATCCTAGAAAGAGAGTATAATGAAGGGAAGGGAACAAGGAAGTCAGTCCTGAGTGCTGGGACTATATTTGGTTGCATTCTTGCTCTGGGTGCTGATAAGGACTGTGATGTATTTGAAAACATTTATTAAGCTGTACATTTATGTACACTTTACTTCAATACAAAGTTGAAAAACATATGAGATGTAAAGTCAAAAGAATAGTCAAGGAAAAGAAACAATGTGAAAAAATAAACTATTTAATAGTAAGCCTTATAGAATTATAATAATAAAGTGTGGTATTAGTGAAATAATAAACAAATAAGGAAACAGAAAAGATTCAATAAATAGATACACATTCACGTGGACGTTTGATTGTGACTAAAATCACATTATATTGCTGTGGGACAAAGTATGTTTTCAATAAATGAAGCTGTTTCGATTGGCTATCCTTTTGAAAAATAGTAACTGCATATCACAATAAAAATGAACAAATATAACTCTGATCTATTGCATAAATGGCTACGTTAAATATAATATTAAAAGTAAGATGACACAAAAATTAGAAGGCATATAAGATTAAACTTATTTAAAGATCAAAACCAGACATGAAGTTGTGTTAGAGGTCAAAGCATTGGTTTCCCACTGGAGAGAGTGGTAGGTATAATAGAATGCAAAAAAGGTGCTTCTAAAGAATTGTGGATATTCAAAACATATGTTTGATCTGTGCCAATCTAGTGAGCTAAATCAATATTTAGTGTCTAGCTAGCTAGGTAGTTAGCTATCCATCTATCAATCATACATGTGTATGGGGAGTTTATGCGTATTTATTACTTCATTCAGAAAGTTTAAAAATCTAGGTTACAATCAAGGTTATATACTCCACTGCCAAATTAGCTTTTTGTCAGAATATGATTTAATAAGATGATATGAAGCAAGTAAGTCCCTCTAGACACAATTAAAACAACTTCTATTCACAATAACTAAGAGAGAAATTTAACCTATGCCTTTGCTAAGCAAAACAATTTTTAAAGGAATTACCTTTATTTTAAATAAATGAACTAGTTTTAAGAGCAGAAAAAAGAAAGACATGCAAAAAATTTAAATGCTATGGCACTTATATGGCAGCTTTCATGCATTGTGTATTAAAAAAACTTCCTATGACAAATGTAATAACTATGGTCCTTATCATTATATATCCCAGGCAGAGAATTACAATTTTCTTTGTAAAAATCTCCTTAAAAACACTGCATTGAGAATTCCATGATCATTGTTGTTTCTCTGTTACAGCATAATGGTCATGCATTCATCACAGATAGGTCTATGATGCTTTGGAATAAATAAAACTGCAAGCACTTAGACATTAGGGAAATAAGATTATAAAACAATTAAAATGAATCAAACAGGTGCCACATCTGAATAAAAGGTGTATGGAGACTTCTACAGCAAGTCCATAGTGTCAATGGCATTTAAAATGTTGAATCAGAATCAGCCTACGTGTAAGCCCCATTCTGACTAATAGGTCCCATCCAAAAGCTGTGTTAACCAGAGTCCACATGAAATCAAGCAGAGCACTGACACCATTATATGGAATTTTAATGGAGTGCTTTAGTGATTGTGAAGGTTCCACTTGGTTAATGCAGCTGAGATATGAAAAATTGAATAGAAAAAGATAGAGATTGAAATATAATCCTAATGATGATTTGCTTTTGAACTAGTAATCTGAAAGTACTGATCCAATTTTCACAGTACTTCCCCACCAGAAACTGCTGTTTTTAATTTATTTTTTAATATACATATATATTCTTAATTTTCTGAAATTAGTGTTTCTTCCCCACTGGTATATTTATGTCCCTGGTATCTACAGTGAATATATCACTGTATAGAAAAGTATCATGTTAATCAAACAAATAATTCTGGATAATTAAGAAGTAGGTAGTCCATGGAGTAGGTAAACATATTGTGCCATATTCCTCCTCATCATTGAGATACTGTATTATATACTGATTAATAATCAGAGAGAATATTGTCCTTTCAGATTCTACTTTCCACAAAGTGAACAAATGAATGCAAGGAAAAGGAATTAGTATGGGATCACTATTTATTAGAGAAATGTAAATGAAAACCACAATGAGATACCACCTCACATCAGTCAGAATGGCAATTATTAAAAAGTTAAAAACAACATATACTGGCAAGGTTGTGGAAAAAAGGGACCGCTTATACACTGCCGCTTGGAATGTAAATTTCCATTGTGGAAAGCAGTTTGGCAGTTTCTCAAATAACTTAAATTACCATTCGACCCAGAAATCTCATTACTGGGTGTCTACCCAAAGGAATGTAAATTGTTCCACCAAAAAACACATGCATGCCTAAATTCATGGCAGCACTATTCACAACAGCAAAGATATGGAGTCAACCTAAATTCCCATGAATGTTTGACTGGAGAAAGAAAATGTGGTATATATACACCATGACATATTATGCAGCCATAAAAAAATGAGATCATGTCTTTGCAGCAACATAAATGGAACTGGAGACGGTTATCCTAAGTGAATTAACGCAGGAACAGAAAACCAAATACTGCATGTTCTCTCTTATAAGTGGGCACTAAACATTGAGGACACATGGACACAAAGATGGGAACAAACATCAGGCCTATTTGGGGGTGGAGGCTGGGAGGAGGATGAGGGTCAAAAAACTACCTGTAAGGTCCTATGCTTATTACCTGGCTTATAAAATAAACTGTACACCAAACCCCCATGACACAATGTACCTGTAAAACAAACCTGCACATGTAACCCTGAATCTAAAATAAATGTTTTAAAAAAGGATTAGAAAGAACCACAATCCACCCCTGTGTTCTGTGTGGTTTACATGTTCTCTCTGTCTCTCTCTCCCTCTCCCCACCTCCTAAACTAAAGCAACCATTTGGCTTTATTATACACCTTCAGACAAATGTATATTAAAAACACATATCTGTGGCATTATAAACACTGGCTTATAATTTTATTTTCTTTCATTACTAAAACTTTCCTGAAGAAAATATTCATAAAGTGAACAAAAACAAGTAATTAAAAAATAAAAATTTAAATTATGTTAATCTGGACTGGTATCAAAAAAGAATTTTAAAAAGTTCCAAATGACATGAGGCATTGAGAAACTTCATATGATTTTCTTTAATAAAGAAAAGAAGCTAAGTACATGGTTACATAAATCTTAAAAAGACAAAAATTCTTAAAAAGTCTCACTAGTTATTCAGGTTCTAAGGATCTTGGGATCATCTGTAAATGAATTATGAGGGCCTACTTCATTTTGCAGTCAGCCAGAGAGCCATTTCATTTTATAGTTTTCTCCCTCAAGGTGGCAAAGCTCGCAGGGCACCTTATAATTCAATTATATTATAAGTACCCCTAAGAATTTTAATTACATATAACAGATGAGTTTAATTCTTGAATATCTATGAGATACACTTGAATAAACATGAATTTAAGTTTTGAGTCCTACTTTCCCTTTGAACAAAAGAAAACATATGGATGATACTGTCTTAGATCTTAAAGAAAGTAAACAATTTTACTCTCCTCACAGCAAGTTATCTAAGGGACCGGTCTCTAAATCAACCCACAAAAATATTTTGGCAATCTGGTTAGACACCAGTTTCATCTATACAATATGCTAAGAAAGGAGACGAAGAAGTCTTCAGGAAAATTTTCATTACTTCTCTAGCTTATGATTTCCTAACGTCTTCTTAAATCAAGCCTATACCACTGTCAGAGTCTACAAAACCAAGAAAGAATATTAACAGAATAAACAAGCGACAAACAGTCCAATGTCAATAGGATAACTGCATTTCCATCTATTCCTCACCCCCTTATATAAAGAATCAAATCCACCAAGCAGGTTAAATTCAAACCCAACCAATAAATAAATAAATAAATAAAGTCTATTTTTTTTCTACTTTGCTTGATGGAGAACCAGCTCCAAGTAATCTTCTCAGAAGAAAGCCTAAATATATTTAGGGGAAAAAACCCTCTATTCCATACCTCTGCCCTCACAGGTCTCCATAATGCAAAATACTTTATTAAAATTATGAGAATTATTTCAGTGAAGAAATCTATCTACGCCTTTAACTCATCGTATCTGAAAACTATTGGACAGAGAGCTCTGTTTTCTATGGATTTAATACCAGTCATAATAACATTTCCAGATTACATCTTGAGAAACTCTTTGGTATAAACAATAAATATATTTAGCAAAATTGTATTCCAAGATAATATTTTATTTAACTATTGTGCTAAATTAAATTCTAAAGATTATAGTGTTACCAAATAATTTTCCTGTACCAGAGAATATGTGTACTGTAATATATATACATATATATAAAATTGATAACAATTTTACATCTGATATCACACAATTTTTTTTTCAAACACAGATGTTTATGATAATGTGTTAGGACATTTTAGGAATATTGTAAATTAGTTCTAACTTGCCTGCATTAATTTATTTAGTCTTTAATCACCATGGCAGATATGGAGATAAAATAATAATAATACATTTAATAATAATAATTTGTCATTAACATTTACTAAAAACTTTCTATTAACTTCACATAAGTTATCTCAGTTCATCCTGAATATTGCCCTATTGAGGTAGACTAATGATGTTCCTATTTTCCAGCATGAAACATTACTGCAGAGAACAATTTGCCCAATGTCTCATCATTATTAAAATACATGGCTAAAATTTGAAACTTGGCATTCTGGCTTCAGAATCTGGGCTCTTAACCGTATTACGCAGTAAAACTAGTAATATAGAAATGAATAAGACAGACTTTCCTTAAAGAGTTTAAAGTCCAATGAGATAGCCAGGAATATCAGATATGGGAAATTAAGTGGATTATAATGGTAAAAGTTAAATGAGAAAAAAGAAGGAAACATACATGAGTTGATGAAAAAAATGAGTTTATCTGTCTAGAGTGGCATGGGTTATCTGGATAGAGGTATTAAAGAATAGATAATACTAGTGTGAGCTACAGAAATAATTTAGAGTGATAATATAATTAAGTTGAGAGACTATAAGTTGAAATCAAGGAGATTATGTAAAGCAAAAAGATAATATGAACAAGGATAAATCGTGGGGAATATCAGCAATTAACCTATGATATTAAGGAGTAGATGTACTTTTTGCTAATGTCTCCAATGAACAGCAAACATTAATCAATTCATTTATACTGCTCATTTGATAATATGGCTAGGTTATATGGGGAACAACATAAATGATAAAATAAATATATTTTTTTAAATTCTATAATGGATTTGGCATGCAGTTTTATTTGATTCAATTAACTTTGACAAATGTAACTTATAAAAGAAAGGAGTAGAATTTCTTAACAATCTGACTCTCTTTGTTAAGAATCAGATCAAGTACAATTAATCTGTGATCTGTGAGTGGTCAGGGAGTAACTGCCAGAACGAAGAGAAGTGCATTCTCAGGGCTCAACACACTAATGTCATCCCCACGATAAAATATTTTTATTGAAGTGCAAAGTAGCTTAGAGAGAATTATTAATGAAAGTCACATTTTACTGCAAAAGTAATATAAATTCAAATCTTTTCTAATTTCTCTTATCAACTTTATAAAAATAGACAAAATTTTCTAAATTAGCAAGAATATGAAATTAGAAATGTGCTTTAAAACTTTATTACAATTTAAGGTCTGATATAGCCTTTTTTCTACTCTAACTCTTTTTTTAAATTATACTTTAAGTTTTAGGGTACATGTGCACAACGTGCAGGTTAGTTACATATGTATACATGTGCCATGTTGGTGTGCTGCACCAAGTAACTCATCATTTAACAGTAGTCTTAATTTCATGTACAAATGGGCATTTGTACATTTGGATGTGCTTAAGTGTGTGAGGGGGTAAGCTGTGTATGTGTAAAACTAAATTGATAAGGCAATTTTTTGACAACGTAGCCTCCTAAATGTAGCTATCAACAGTTTCACTTTATGCTTTTAAATAAATGACCTTTACATTTCCTAAAATATAATATTGCCCACTCAATTCCAATGCTTCAGACAGTTTTTCTCTACAGTGTGTACTTTCTACACTGAAAAATGCTGGAGTGCATATTTATTGAAAGCTGTCTCTGTTAATGATCAAGAAAAGTCAACACTTCCGTTCATTGTTTTTCATTGTTTCAGGAATAATTCTCTCCTCACCTCCTCACCAGTTTATCTCATAATCACTCTGCCTTTCAAGAATATTGTTTGGCATCCATTATTTATAGAACATCACTCAAGTGTTGAATTTTAAAACAGCATTCCAATATTTTTCTTTCCTATATTACTGATCCTTGACATCCAGCTTGCATTGTCTCTATACTGTCCCCATTCTGTTATTACCTGCAGTGTCTATTTACACAATACTATGCTTTATTCAGTGTTGAACTTTTTTTTCCAAGTTGGATAAATAAATATCAATTCAATGAATTTTTCTGAATGGTAATTATGGCAAAAAAATAATGTTTCAAAGCATGGTTGCATTTAAACAGTAGTGGTTCTTTGGGCAGCTGTGTGGAAAAGGTGAGAGTGGCATGTGTGAATCTTATCTCACATTATGAATGAGGATATGGTGTTTTCTAAGGTAGTGTTTGAGATAACTGTTAGCTTACATAAACCAGAAGAAAAAGAGATATTGTCTTGTGAATAAAGAGAAAGAGGTAAGTGTCATATTAACAGTATAAAATTAAAATTAATCTGCTTCACCATTTCATGTAATATATTGAAAATTAATATTTAGAAAAATAAAAGTAGCTAATAACAAAAAGTAGTTTATCACTGGGAGGATTTTTTTTCTCAATAAAGATATTTTCTTAATACCTCCAGAGTGGCAAAAATCAAAATAATAAGGTTACTTAACATAAAAATAAAATATTAGCAAAGATATATTTAGTGGCTTGTGCTTACTAAATTCTTAAGGTCTGTAAATAATATATTTCACAGTAAAATAGGCATTGGCAGGTATATTAACTCTTTTAGTGGGAGGAATCCAAAGAGAAGATACTGGATGATCCATGTTGAAAACTATTGTGTTTTAAAATCAGATAATCTGTTAGCAAGCTAGCAAATTATCTTGGTCAACTATGTTATTTTATAAGTGAAAAAACAGGCCCAGAGAGATAAATAAATAGACTAGTGATGTACGACTATAAGAGGTTTCATAACTTCTAGATCAGGGAACATTTTAGTAAGCCATGCTGCTGCCTGTTTGTTTTACTGAGACCCTGAGACTACATAACACAACAAATATGTATTTTAGAACAAGTGAGGAGAAGACTCTACTAAATTAGGGAATGCATCATTCTAGTTAAGTCATAGAAAAGAAAGATTTCTCTTTTCCCAGCAAGTAGGAGATAGAATAGAGAGGATGGTGCGGGGAAGAGGGAATGTTTTAGCAGCATATTGGATTCATTCTCCATCGAAGACTTCAAACACACTGGAAACTTGCTGCAGTGGATTCAGCACAAAATTTTGTCAGAGCATAACTCTGCTGGACCCCAATTTTTAAAAAAACCTTTCAGAAATCAGCATGACTTCTGCTTCATAGATTCTCTAGATATTGAACGGCTTTCTGAAAGGTTAAAAAAAAAAATCATAGCGTTAGAAGCCTGTGCAGGGCTATAGTTCACAAAAGGTGGGTCTCCTACTGTGCAAGGCAAGATCTTGCTGTGTAAGCCTCCTTGGAGCAGAATTTCAATTTTAAAGCAATCTGTGTGCCATGTTATTGTAAGATTTCCTTATTTCTCACAAATTACCTAACTTAAACCAGGTACTAACACAGAATAATTCACTTGACATATAGGAATAAAATATAAACACAAACATATAAATATATTTTATGCACGAAAGTATTCATTTTATTTTTCAATGAAATTACAGATAATATCTTGTGTGAAAGATTTCTAGAGCCTGAGAAACCTACAATGACAGATACTTATTTATTTTTGGAATAAAACTTGTCAGGCTTTAACAGTCATCTATGAACTGAATTAATTTTTTATGCTCTAGTACCATTTTTTTGCCAAAGTAATTGCTTGACATTATAGAAGACTCATTTAGTTAGGGAAATGTTTCTTACATGGAAAAAAAGGATTATCCTATCTTTTCTGAGAATATGTGAGGTTTCTGCACTTTTAAAAATTCACCTGCCACAGTAAGATAATTTAATATGATTGTATCTATAACTCTTTAATAATCAATAAATTCTCTTTAGCAATAGAAATAGCTACCCATTTTACTTTACAGGTATGGAACAGGAACATAGTCTGCAACGTGGAATATGAAGATAAATGTAGTAGTACTTGCTTTAGATAAGTAATATTGAATACTAAAGAAAATTATGGCCCAATTATCAAAGATGAATAATAACACATGTAGAATTTGATAATAGTATAAAATAAGAATAAAAAAATTCCAGCGATTTATAATAATCGGGTTTGAGATAAAACAAATTACACAATTTGTCCTCATTTTATAAATATAACTACTATTGACTGTAATTAGTCATCATTTTTGTAACATTTCTTAAAAGTTCAGTACTAATATGTAGTGTTGTAGCAAACCGAAAACTTTGGAACAGAATAAAATGTTTAATACATTGAATATTATACTTTTAAATAATATTCAATGCATTCTAACTTCAAATACAAATAGACATCAAAATATAAAATTTAAGTGCCAAATTGTTAGCTCCTCTTTTTGCATTTTTTCTATAAATCACACCAATTTTTGACAACACAAACCAAGGATTCTTTAAAAAGAACATTCTTTATGCTAAAAGGGGGAAAATGAAATAGAGAAAGATTACAGTATATCATCACAGAATAAAATAGTGAATGAAATTGATCAATTATCACAAGTTCAAGTCATCACATAAATCTATTATAATTAGTTTTTCATAGATTCTTAGCTTATACATCACGAGGCAAAATTTTTGCTATTTAAAAGTATCAGTGATATTGTGAATATATTTATGCTCTCCACCTCTATTATTCAAGTAGAGTTACTCACATAATTGCCTTTATCACATTTACGTTCCCTAGAATGACTAGGAAGATAATTACATTATGTAATCACCCAGTCTCTACTTGTTCTGGTATATTATATTTGATTCTGCTTATGTAATATATATTTTGGGTCAAAATAGTTTTTCCTGTGTACTGTTTGGTACAACCATTCCATTATAGGTCAGCTTCTCTATTTCAAAACATTAGGACCTCCATCCTACCATTGGCTACCATGAATTATTGCAACATAAAGTATATTTAAATAATTAACGAATGCAGAAAGGCTCTTTATTTTTAAATAATTATATTTAATTTAGAGGGTGTAATTTGCTATAGATCTTTCAAAATGACTATCTATATGGAATAGTATGGTTGGTGAAAGTGCAATTCAAAGCTCGTTTGCTGTGCAAGTGTGGTATTTAGACAATTCAAAGATCAGTTTTAGCCTGTTTCCTTTGCCAGGAAGCTGTTTCTTTTCAAGCCTTGCCCTCAAGATTCCCACAGGTAGCTGGAGTCTCAAACTGATGAGTAGGAAACAGCTGACTACATGTTTCAGACAACTTCTTCACCGGGCAATTGTCAATAACCATGACTAAGCCTATTTATAAAGGAGAGGATTCTATACGCCGGGCAGTGTACTAACAGCATTAGAATGTGGACTCAACAGCCTCACAAGACCTGCATCTCCTGTTTTGCGTGTGGAGAGAATGATCCACACAGCTCGTTTCCACTCGTAGGTATATGTAATGATGGTCCGGAGAACTGTGGTGCTATTTTCTGTGCTCAGCCCATTGATAGTCTATGGTTTCCCTTTGGGGAAACAGAGGAAAGTCTTATGTCTTGGAGAACACCAAGTAATATCGGCATTGACTCTGTAGGTAAGGCACTCTGACACTCAAGCCTATTTCCTTATTTTTAATAATGTAAATTTAAAAATCATACAAGTGATACAAAAGGTGAACAGTTCCTTTTCCACCACAGAAACAGGTCAGCTTGTGGCTCCTACTAAGACCTCAATAAAAATTCATAGGTTATGCGTACTATGTACCAACAAAAATTAAAAATAAAACTTTTTCATAAAACAATGCATAGGGCATAATAATGTACAAAGAACATTAATATCTGTGGAAATTTAAGCTAATTATCTGTGTTCCTTCTTTACGAGCTTTTTAACAAAAATTTTTGTTCTGCTTGAATAGGTTCTAATTTTATACAAACTTTATTTGCTTAGTTAATTACTTTTGCTTCTGAAGTTATTTCTCTAAAGAAATTACTAGCAGTTTGGAAAGCATGCTGTTCAGAATTGTTTTGACATATGTGAATAGAAAAAATGATGCTGAAAATATCAAACAAATGCCTTTAGTTTGGAACATTCATCTTTAAACATCTGTTAATACAATTGGTATTGCAACAGAATGCAAACAAATTTCTCACTTTTGAACCCCAGTAGGGTTGAAACATATAAAATTTATGACAAGTCAGATGTGCCCTGGACTCAATTCCCAAGAATGCTTTGCCCAGGCTCACCAAAAGACCACTTGGAACATATAAACCTCTACTCAAAATTGTATCCTGAATTTATGGTTTGAAAAGCTTGCTATTTGTGGTGTGCTTTAATTCAGCATTCTCGTCTTACGTTTTGACCATCTCAAATGACAGCCTTTAAAAATCGTAAGTACTGCTATTCTTTACACATTATTAAAGAACTATTATCTCAGTTGAGCTCTTTGGAAAACAACTACAATATATTTACTAACTTTCGACTCATAATTCTAAGTTGTGTTTGTTCTACTTTAGCTGCAGACTTTTTGTCTTTTACTTTTCATTTTTTTCAACCCTCATACACTGTCTTTGAAGATTCAATTTTCTTTGTTGAGGAAACATACAGAGCAAATTTCCATGTAAGTTATTTCATCTCCTTTAAAGCCATCCCAAAACCAGAAGCATGGCCTTTGACTTCATCCATGACCACAGTATTTGCAGCAAGCACGTTCAGAGTCAGAAGCTAGTAGGCAGGACTGAAATGACAATGTCTCCCTGTTGTCCTCACAAAGCAGCTACCTGAACACACTATTTAAATGTGTTTCAGAAGCTTGTAACAAGCCATAAAGTGCTATCACTTCTTACAGCTCGTCAATGTATTTCATTTGATGACGTCATTGTGTTGCTATCAGCAAAAACCATAGGCTGTGATTTAAAAAAAATAGAGGTAATCTATGAGTTTTAATTAAAAGACTATCATGACATGCTAACAGAGCAGTGTACCCAGAAAGCTAGCCCCTCAAATTGCCAATTAACACACTCAACTAGATAATTTAAAGACACTTGTCTTTATTACTGATGTCACAACACCCACAATAACAATTAAATAAGATGTTCATTAACTTACCATACTATTTATAATCTCAACATTTATATCGATTTCTAAGTGTTTTCAATTTTCAATTGTGAATTTGAGGAATTTATTGAAAGTAATGTTAACAAACATTAAAACATTTGACTCACTCAAAATTCAATATGATATAGTATATTCAATAATTGTAACCTCAGACATTCTAGATTGTTTTACTTTTTAACTTAATATTAGTGCAGGAGCATATAGTATTGTTTCACAGTGACTTATATATCACAAATTTAGAATGTATATTCCAAATTTGTTACAGTAGTTTTAATTGTCTCATATTAGGTGAGTTTTTTGTTTATATATTTGTCTTTCTCTTTTGAAAGTCAAGTCCATGAGAGCAGATATTTGTTCATTCCCTGTTGTATCCAGTCTCATCCCTAAGCTTAGGAGAGTACCCGATCTGTTTGTTCAATAAAAAAATTAATAAATATAATATTATGCCACTATTTCATGAGAAGATTATATAATTTATAAATAAGAATTTAGTTGTTTCTAAGTTATTGTTTTGACAAACATCTTTTGAATAGAATATATTGAATTATTCAGAGTGAAAAAATTTGAGATATTTAACAACTTCAAATGTTTTTTCAGGAAAGTAAGATATTTTCATTATGACTAACAAAGTATACCTTTATTCCCAGAAATCTCTAAACCTTTAGTTAAACTCATCAATTAATTTTTCTTATTTCACTAACTTTTGTAGTACTTTCTTACATTCAAATTTGAGTTTCTCTAAATTCTTGAATACACACACATATCTTGTTTCATTATATAAAATTAATATGTAAAATATGCATGCAAGTGTATATGTATATTCTTGGACAATTTGAGTCTGATGTTTTCAAACATTTTATCAAATATCTGCTTCAACCTGCTCATTATTGTGTATTCATCATAATCACTCTGATTATTTTAACAAATGGCTATTTAAACTGTATTTACTAAATTTTTAACGGATATATTATTTTCTTTAAAACATACCAGTGTGTATGATATCTGCAGAAATAACAGTATAATCAACATAAAGATATAAATCAACTTTATCCACAGAAGGAAATATAACTTGAATTGCAATATTAATATTACCTGTAAATAAAATAAAGTTCATGTTCAAAGCTACAGAATATTATACAGAATATTATTTTGATTGCTCTTTTCTAAGGCTATTTAAAAAATCCACGCTGACCAGCCTTTTATTTATACAAACATCCTCCACTCCATATATGTGATATATCCTTTTCTTCTCTTTTCTTTTTTTTTTTGTTTCTTTTTGAGACAGAGTGTTCTTCTATCACCCAGGCTGGAGTGCACTAGTTCAGTCTCTGCTCACCACAAACTCTGCCTCCCAGGTTCAAGCTATTCTCCTACCTCAGCCTCCCAAGTAGCTTGGATTACAGGTGTCCAACATCATGCCCAGTTAATTTTTGTATTTTTAGTAGAGATGAGGTTTTGCCATCTTGGCCAGGCTGGTCTCGAACTCCTGACCTCAAGTTATCTGCCCGCGTCAGCCTCCCAAAGTGCTGGGATTACAGGCATTAGCCACCACACCCAGCCCTGATATATCGTTTTCTATTTCTCTTAAAAGCATTAGATTGGAAGGATTGTTGTTTGTCTTACTAGAAAAATGTATTCACAAAAACATTCAGCAACAGTAGTATAGATGGAAAGCACCTATTCTTCCAAAAGCTATTTATGGGAAATTAAAAGTACATTGGATTTTTTTTATTAAGTAGAAGTAAAAATATTTTTAATTTGTCTTTAAATTTGTTTTATGTATTTATTTATATTATTTATTTATTTATTTATTTATTTATTTATTTATTTATTTATTTTTGAGACAGGATCTCACTCTGTCGCCCAGGCTGCACTGCGGTGGCACAATCATTGTTCACTGCAGCCTCCATCTCCCATGCTCAAGTGTTCCTCCCACCTCAGCCTCCTGAGTAGATGGGACTACAGGCACATGCCACTGCCCCAGCTAATTTTTTTTTTTTTTTAATTTTGTAGAGACAGGGTCTTGGTATGTTACCCAGGCTGGTATTGAACTCCTGGGCTCAATATATCCTCCCACCTCAGGCTCCAAAAATGCTGGGATTAAAGGCATGAGCCACTGTTCCTAGCCTAAATTTGTTTTTTTTTTTTAAGCATGGCTCCGTGGTAAGTTTATAGATAATTATTGAAGTAAACATGTAATATAGTCAATCTTTTAATCCAAATAAAAAATAGCTACCATTTGAAAGAAGAGTAAGAATAAAGGTGAACATATCTGTATCTATCTATCTATCTATCTATCTATCTATCTATCTATCTATATCTGTTAGCTAAATTACTCATCAATGTAGACATCCCTATTTTAGGTTGATGCACACTCATAGTTATTTGTTTATTTTGTAGAAAATTGGTTTCAAGATCTCACTGCAAAATTGTAAAAATTTTATCATTCTTAAGATTCCATAACTGGCTTGTCTAAATAACAAGCCCTGACATATTCATGTAAAGTTTTATATAGTCTTCTAAATTTACTATACATAGTATGAGTTTTCAACTCTTGTTACCCAATATGTTAATATGTTAATTAGATCAATGTTTATTGTTCCAGAGTAGAGAACCATTGAAATGAAGTAAATAATCTGTAACCCAATGATTAATAATGAGCGTGTATAAACAATTTATACATTGCCTCATTCTCACTTCGACTTTTGGTGTCTTTCTTTCTTTGAGTAGAAGAGTAAGATAATATCAAATCAAGCTCATTCATTCATTCAAAATTATTTGAAACACTATTTTATATACTCCTATTGAGTGTGTTACCTGTTATATATTATAGCAAAGAAAAATAATACTTTAATTCTCTGAACCATTGATATAAACAATCAAATTTGACCCATTATTTTTCTTTAGAACACATGACAAATAGTCTTCTTATTGTGGCTCAAGGACATTTTGTGAACTCAGCGATGTCATCAGCAAACTATTTTATCTGCCACTTGGGCCACTTGCATTAGCAAATATTTTGTTTTATCCAACTTTATCTTTAAAAATATAATTATAAGCTTGACCTAACTTCCTTCTTGTTAAAGCCACTTTTAGTTGCATTTCTCTGATGTGCAACTGAAAGCTACTTAGCTGGTAAACTACAAAAATTAACTTCTTTCAAAAATAAGTACTATGAAATTGTACTTGATAATGCATAGAACAAAGTTTTTAAGTGTGAAACGTTTTAAATGTTGAGTAAATTTTTTTTGTTATTTTGTGTAATTCCCATCCCATGGATCTTACTTTACACTGCTGTTACACACAAGTAATGTATCTATTTCCAAGCTAATCTAAGTTATTTAAAATAAAATTTAAACACCCAAAACAATTAATTGCAAGGAATTAAGGTACTGCCTTTGTAAAGCAACAGGCAATTTTGGAAACAATTTCAAAGTGATTAAGTCTCTCAAATAGATTATACTCCTGTTTACTTATTCTTAAAAAAGAGATTTTTTTCTCTTATAGAGAAAAGTATGAATCATTTTAGCATGTTTCTACATATATATATATAGGAATGCAACAATATCCACTACCACAAAGATAAAAGTTACTATATTAGGAATTAAATAAAAAATTGCCAGCCATGCAAAAAAGCATTAAAATATGACCCAAAATAATAACATAATAAATCAATTACAACTTCCTACAGATGTAGTCAATTGTAGGATTATTTAAAAAGGACATTTAAAGATTTATTGTAACTGTATCCCATATAGTCAAGAGAATAGAGAAAAGAATGGACAGGTAGAGTGGAAACAAGAAAGATATAAAAATATCCAAACTGAACTTCCAGTAAAACAAACTCCAATGACTGAAATACGAAAACACACTGCATGAAATTAATAACAGATTAGACATTGCAGAAGGGAAGATCAGTGAACTTAATAACAAAGTAAAAGCAATATCCAACATAACATGGATAAAAAAGGAACATTTACAAATGAATAAAGCGTTAGTGACCTAGAAGCTAACTTCAGATGCCATTGTAATGCCGGAAGGAAAAAAGAAAAGAGGAAGGTGAACACACTAAAAATTGAAGAAATACAGCTACGATTTATCAAATTAGATTTAAACTTCTAAATTCATATTGAAGCATCTCAACAAACTCAAAGCATAAGAAACATATAGAAAAATACACCAAGGCACATGACAATAAAAGTACTCAAAAACAGTAAATATTAGGAATTCATAAATGAGCACAGAGGAAAAAGACATATTATATACAGAGAATAAAGCTAAGGATTAGAACAGATCACTTGCTACAAATAATATAAGCGAAAATACAGCTGAGAATTTTATTTGAAATAGTAAAAAGAGAAAGAAAGAACCTCTGTGGCTATAATTCCTTATCCAGAATAATATATTTCAAAAATAAAGGGAAAATAAAGACTTTTTTTCTGACATGCAACTGCGAAAAGAATAATCACCAGCAGAATTACACTACAAAGAAGGAATGCTAAAATAAGTCTTACAAGCAGAAGTAACATGATATCAGATGGATATTTGGTAAAAAATAAAATAAAATAAAATAAAAAGTCAAACACCAGAAACAGAGCAGTAACTCTGTATGTAAGCATAAAGATTTCTTAAAGGATTACTGGTTGTCTAAAGGAAAAGTAAGAAAACCGTATTGTGGTAGAATTATGTAAAAATAAAATCTGTGGCAACAATAGCACAAAAAAACAGAGGAAAGAAGTCTGAAAACTGTAAGATTTTCACTATGTATGAAATTATATAATATGAGTTGAGAATAATCTGTGATAGGAAAACATGCAGCTGGGTGCCGTGGCTCATGCCTGTAATCCCAGCACTTTGGGAGGCTGAGGCGGGTGGATCACCTGAAGTCAGGAGTTCGAGACCAGCCTGGCCAACATGGTGAAACCCCATCTCTACTAAATATACAAAAATTAGCTGGGTGTGGTGGCGGGCTCCTGTAATCCCAGCTACTCAGGAAGCTGAGGCAGGAGAATCGCTTGCACCCAGGAGGTGAAGATTGCAGTGAGCCAATATCGCACCATTGCACTCCAGCCCAGAACACAAAAGTGAAACTCCATCTCAAAAAAAAAAAAAAAAAAGAAAGAAAGGAAACATGCATACTTTAAACCTCAAAGTAAACCAGTAAATATCAAAACAGAGTTATAATCTAATGTATTAGTTTTTTTCTTGCTGCATAACAATATACCATATGCTCAGTAGCTTTCAACAACTTATATTATTTCACAGTTAGTTGCCTGGTGTTAGAAGTACAGGCATGTTTTAGCTGGGCTGTCTGCATAGGGCTTCACAAGGTTGCAATCAACATGTCAGTTAGGACTGTGTTCTCATCTAAATCCAAAGATCCTCTTCCAAACTCACATGACTGGTGGCAGAATTTATTTCCTTACAACTATAAAACTCTTGGCAGCTTTCTTCTTAAAAGTCAGCAGGAAAGAATCTCTCTGATATCCAGATTATCTTTTAAAAGATCTATCTGATTTAAAAAGCCATGCCCATTCAGGTTATTCACCTTTGATTGGCTTAAAGTTAACTAATTAGGGGGGCCTTAGTTACATCTGGAATTTTTTTTTTTTTTTTGAGACGGAGTCTTGCTCTGCCTCCCAGGCTGGCCTGCAGTGGCGCGATCTCGGCTCACTGCAAGCTCTGCCTCCCGGGTTCAGGCCATCCTCCTGCCTCAGCCTCCCTAGCATCTGGGACTACAGGCTCATGCCGCCACACCTGACTAAATTTTTTGTATTTTTAGTAGAGACGGGGTTTCACCGTGTTAGCCAGGATGGTCTCGATCTCCTGACCTGGTGATCTGCCCGCCTCGGCCTCCCAAAGTGCTGGGATTACAAGTGTAAGCCACCGCGCCAGGCCTGGAATGTTTTTTTACAGGTTCCTTAAATGTATTCTAATCATAGGAAACAGAAAAGGGAGTAGGAATAGCTATACTTAGATAAAATAGACTTTAAATCAACAACAGTAAAAAATGACAAAGAAGGTTATTAAATAATCCTGAAGGGATCAATCCAACGAGAGGATATAACAATTCTAAATGTATATGCACCCAACACTGGAGCATCCAGGTTGATACAACAAATATTACTAGATCTGAGAAAAGAGAAAGACAGGTATATAATAACAGCAGGGGATTTCAACATCCTACTGACATCATGAGACTGATAATCAAGGCAGAAAACTAACAAAGAAATACTGGACTTAAATCAGATTTTAAACCAAATGGACCTAGCAGACATTTACAAATCATGCTATCTAACAACTACTGAATATACATTCCTCTCATCAGTGCACAGAACATTCTCCAAGATACATAATATGTTGGGCCGTAAAACACAACTTGATAATTTTTTTAAAATATAAGTTATATAAAGTGTCTCATCAGAGCAGAGTGAAATAAAACTAGAAATTAATTCTAAGAGGAAATCTTAAAACAATACAAATTAATGGAAATTAAACAACATGCTCCTGAATAATTTTTGAGTCAATGACAAAACTAAGGTGTAAACTTAAAAATATTTTGAAACAAATGAAAATAGAGACACAGCATAGCAAAACCTTAGATACAACAAAAGCAGTGCTAAGAGGGAAGTGTATAGCATTAAATGCCTAGATCAAAAGAAATACAGATCATGAATTAATAACCTAATGACATGCCTCAAAGAACAAGAAAAACAAGAAACAACCAAACACAAAGCTAGCAGAATAAAATACATTTACAAAGGTCAGATCAAAACTAAATGAAATTAAAAAAATATACAAAGGATCAACAAAGTTAATAGTTGGTTATTTGAAAAGATAACCAAAACTGATAGACTGCTAGTTAGACTATCTAAGAAAAGAAGAGAAATCTTAAAAACACTCACATACAAAATCTGGAAATGAAAAAAGAAACATTAAAATTGATACCATAGAAACACAAAAGATCATCAGTGACTACTATGAAAAACTGTCCTTACAAACTAGAAAATCTAGAGGAAATGGGTAAGTTCAGTAAACATACAACCTTTCAATATTAAACCAGGAAGAAATAAATATCCTAA
Source organism: Homo sapiens (assembly GCF_000001405.40). NCBI lineage: Eukaryota > Metazoa > Chordata > Mammalia > Primates > Hominidae > Homo > Homo sapiens. Next base: position 84,978,020 of record NC_000005.10, on the reverse strand, counting down.
AGAGACTAATAACAAATATGAGATTGAATCAGTAATAAAACCTTTTTCAGCAACAACGACAACAAATAAAAAACAAGATCAGGTAAATTCACAACCAAATTCTACAAAATGTACAAAGAACTGACACCAATCCTATGGAAATTGTTCCAGAAAATCAAACAGAAGAGAATTCTTTCCATCTCATACTTTGAAGCCAGAATCACCCGGATACAAAGCCAAGCAAGGACACACAATGAGAAAGACAACTACAGATCAACCTCCCTGATGAACACAGATTTAAAAACCCTCAAAAAAAAAAAAAAAAAAAAAAAAACCTAGCAAACCAAATCCAATAGCACATCAAAAAAGTAATATGTCATGATCAAGTGGGTTTTATTCCACATAAACAAGTATGATTCACTCTATGCCAAATGTGATTCACCACATAAACAGAATTAAAAACAAAAACAATCTGATTATCTCAATGGATGCAAAAACATTTGATAAAATTCAACCTTCATTCATGATTTAAAAACCTTCAAAAAACTAGATATAGAAGGAATATACCTCAAAATAATAAAAGCCATATACAACAGCCCACAGACAACATCATACTACACAGAGGAAAAGTGAAAGTATTTCCCCTAAGAACTGGAAGAAGACAAGGATGCTCACTTTCACCACTCCTATACAACATTGCATTGGAGGTCCCAGCCAGAGCAATCAGGCCAGAGAAAGAAATAAAAGTTATCCAAATAGGAAAACAGTAAGTTAAATTATTTGTTTGCTGACAATATAATCTTGTAGCTAGAAAATCCTAAAGACTATACCAAAAGACTTCTAAATTTGACAAATAAATTCAGTAGCAGTTCAGAATACAAAATCAACATACAGAGGTCTGTATCATTTCTGCAGACCAATAACAATCAAACTGCACACCAAATCAAGAGGTCAATCCCATTTACAGTAGTTATAAGAGTAAGAATATATCTAACTGAGGAGTTAAAATATGTATACAAAGAAAGCTACAAAACACTGATGAAATGGCCATACTGCCCAAGGTAATTTATAGATTCAATGCCATCCCCATCAAGCTACCAATGATTTTCTTCACAGAATTGGAAAAAACTATTTTAAAGTTCATGTGGAACCAAAAAAGAGCCCACATTGCCAAGTCAATCCTAAGCCAAAAGAACAAAGCTGGAGGCATCACACTACCTGACTTCAAACTATACTACAAGGCTACAGTAACCAAAACAGCAGGGTACTGGTACCAAAACAGAGATATAGACCAATGGAACAGAACAGAACCCTCAGAAATAATACCACATATCTACAACTATCTGATCTTTGACAAACCTGACAAAAACAAGCAATGGGGAAAGGATTCCCTATTTAATAAATGGTGCTGGGAAAACTGGCTAGCCATATGTAGAAAGCTGAAACTGGATCCCTTCCTTACACCTTATACAAAAATTAAGTCAAGATGGATTAAAGACTTAAATGTTAGACCTAAAACCATAAAAACCCTAGAAGAAAACCTAGGTGATACCATTCAGGACATAGGCATGGGCAAGGACTTCATATCTAAAACACCACAAGCAACGGCAACAAAAGCCAAAATTGACAAATGAGATCCAATTAAACTAAAGAGCTTCTGCACAGCAAAAGAAACTACCATCAGAGTGAACAGGCAACCTACAGAATGGGAGAAAATTTTTGCAATCTACTCAACTGACAAAGGGCTAATATCCAGAATCTACAGTGAACTCAAACAAATTTACAAGAAAAAAACAAACTACCCCATCAACAAGTGGGCGAAGGATATGAACAGACACTTCTCAAAAGAAGACATTTATGCAGCCAACAGACACATGAGAAAATGCTTATCATCACTGGCCATCTGAGAAATGCAAATCAAAACCACAGTGAGATACCATCTTACACCAGTTAGAATGGCAGTCATTAAAAAGTCAGGAAACAACAAGTGCTGGAGAGGATGTGGAGAAATAAGAACACTTTTACACTGTTGGTGGGACTGTAAACTAGTTCAACCATTGTGGAAGTCAGTGTGGCGATTCCTCAGGGATCTAGAACTAGAAATACCATTTGACCCAGCCATCCCACTTCTGGGTATATACCCAAAGGATTATAAACCATGCTGCTATAAAGACACATGCACATGTATGTTTATTGCAGCGCTATTCACAATAGCAAAGACCTGGAGCCAAAAAAAATGTCCAACAATGATAGACTGGATTAAGAAAATGTGGCATATATACACAATGGAATACTATGCAGCCATAAAAAATGATGAGTTCATGTCCTTTGTAGGGACATGGTTGAAGCTGGAAACCATCATTCTCAGCAAACTATCGCAAGGACAAAAAACCAAATACCACCTGTTCTCACTCATAGGTGGGAATGGAACAATGAGAACACATGGACACAGGAAGGGGAACATCACACACCGGGGCCTGTTGTGGGGTAGGGGGAGGGTGGAGGGATAGCATTAGGAGATATACCTAATGTTAAATGACAAGTTAATGGGTGCAGCACACCAACATGGCACATGTATACATATGTAACAAACCTGCACATTGTGCACATGTACCCTAAAACTTAAAGTATAATAAAAATAAAAAATAAAAATAAAAGAAATTGTAGATCACCCAAATTGAAAAACATCTCAGGCTCATGAATTGGAATAATCTAAGTTGTTAAAATAACTATACTCCCCAAAGAAATCTACAAATTTAATGCAATTTCTGTCAAAATACCAATTCTGTTTTTCAGGGAAAAAATCATAAAATTCATATGGAAACAAAACAAAAAAAGAGCTCCAACAGCCAAAGCTATCATACACAAAAAGAACAAAATTGGAAATTTCACAGTACTTGATTTTAAATTATACTGCAAAGTTACAGTAAACAAAACAACATGGCCTAGTATAAAAATAGACATATAAATCAGTGGAACAGAATGAAGAACCTAAAAATAAAGCCATACCTACATCCACATACCAAGTAATCTTTGACAATGTCAGACAAAAACATGCACTGAAAAAGAACACTCTCTTAAATAAACGGTGCTGGAAAAATTTGATTTTCACATGGAGAAAAATGAAATTGGACCACATCTCTCACTGTATACAAATTAACTCAAGGTGAATTAAATACTTAATGCAAGACCTGAAACTATACAAGTCCTAGAAGAAAAACTCTCCTGGACATTGGTCTAGGCCAGGAATTTATGACTAAGACCTCAAAAGCAAATGCAACAGAAACAAAAATAAACAAATGCACTTAATAAAACTAAGAATCTTCTGGCTGCAAAAACAATAAAAGAATGAATAGAAAACCTGCAGAATGACAGAAAATATTTGCAAATTCTTCATATGACAAAAGACTAATATCCAGATTCTATAAGCAACTCAACTACAAAATAAAAATCCATTAAAATGTGTGCAAAGAACATAAGCATTTTAGAAAGAAAACACAAATGGCTAAGAAGCAAATCAGAAAATGCTCAACTTTACTAATCAGAGTAATCAAAATTAAAACAATAAGATATCATCTTACACCAACTCAGAATAGCTATTATTAAAAATCAAAACTTACAAATGTTGGCAAGGATGTGGAAAAAGGGAATGCCTACACATTGTTGGGGGGGGATGTAAATTAATACAACTTTTATGGGAAACAGTATGAAGATTTCTTAGAGAACTAAAAATACATCTACCATTTGATTTGGCATTCTCCCCTCCTGGGTATCTAGCCAAAGGATAATAAATCATTACATAAAAAATATGCCTACACTGGTATGTTTATTGCAGCACTATTCACAAAAGTAAAGATATGGAATCAATCTCAGTGTCCATAAAGGGATGAATGAATAAAGAAAATGTGGTATGTATATATACATATATATATATTTGTATCTATATATCTAGATTTACATCTATATCTATTGGTATGTATATTTATATCTATATATACACCAAATACATAAATCTATATATACCACATTTTCTTTATCCATTCATCCATATATACACACATACATATGTATATACATATATATATTCACACATATACCACATTTTCTATATCCAGTCATATATATATATATAAAATATACATACACACATACATACCTGCATGAAGAATACTACTCTGCCATAAAAGGAATGAAGTAATTTCTTTTGTAGCAACATGGGTGGAACCAGAGGCTAATATCTTAAGTGAAATAACTCAGAAAAGGAAAGCCAAATACTGCATGTTTTAACTTATAAGTGGGAGTTAATAATGTGTACACACGGACATGGACATGGAGTACAACAATAGACATTACAGCCTTGGAAAGGTGAAAGAGTGGGAGGGGTGTGAGAAATGAGAAATTACTAATGAGTATATATACACATATATATACACACATATACATATATACACACATATATACACATATATATGTATACACATTATATACACATATATACACATATATACACACATATATACACACATATATACACATATATCTACACACACATATATATACACACACATATATATGTAAAACAATGTCTTTATCTCAATGGACACTTAGATTTTTTCCATATATTCGCTATTGTGAATAATGCTGCCATGAATATAGAAGGGCAGACATCCACATCTATAAATTTAAGTATAAATTTTTAAAAGTGTAAATTTTCTATGTCAACTGAAAGGAGTGATTATCAGATTGCATATAAAACCAAGACCTAACTATATGCTGCCTTATGTCTGCAGTGAAGAAATTCACTGTAAATACAAGTGTACACATAAAATAAAAAGTATGGAAAAGATATAATATCCTAATGTTAATAAAATGGGAGCAGCGTTGACTATATTAATATCAGACAAAATATCTTTTCATAGTGAACAATATTATCAGGAAGAAATAAAATAATTTTTAATGACAAATGGATCAGTTTGTCAAGATGACAGAAGGATGTGAAACTGCTTTGCATATCATAGTAGAGCTACCATATACCAATCTACATATAGACAAATCTGACAAGTCTGTAAAGAGAAATGGACAAATCCACAATCTGAGTCAGAGATATTGGCATCACTTTTTCAATAATTGATAGAAATAATTGACAGATTTTCAGTAAGTTTATAGAAGGCTTAAGTAAAACAAATAATTTGATTTAATTTACATTTATAGGACACTTTATCCATCAATAGCAGAATATATATTCCTTTCAAGAGCATATAGAACATTTTCCAAGTTACTATACTTTCTGGAATACACAAAATTTACAAGAATTTAAGTAATTCATACATAATGTGCTCTAAAATGGAGTTAACTTAGAAATCAGTAACACGAAACACCTGGAAAATGACAAATATTTGAAAATTAGTAAGACCTCCAAATAACTCATGTGTAAAAGAATAAGTCAAATGAAAAATAGAAAATAAGTGAAATTTTATTTACAAATTTAAAAATTGTGGTTTCCAACTAAAGAAATAGTTACACTGGAAAATGCAACACTGTGTGTGTATTAAAAAGAAAGAAATATTTCAAATTAATACCTTTGGCTCCTACCTTGAAAAAGAAAGATCAGATGAAACTCAAAGTGGAAGAAATGATAAAATAAAGATTAGAGCACAAATCTGTAAAATAGGTTTTAAAATAGAGAAAATTAATAGCAACATAGCTGGTTCTTTGAGAAGATCATTGTGAACATCTAGAAAAATAATCAGGAAAAAATAAAAAGAGAACACAAATTCCCAATATCAGGAATGAAACTGACACTAACAGATTTACAAATATACATACAGCAAAAACTTAAAAAAAAAATGAAAAGAGATATATCTATATTCATAGTTTCAAATTATAGTAACATTTTAACAGAAAAAAATATGCATGTAGTCAACGGCCATATAGAACAAGAACAGTCAGTGGAGATCTAGGTCATTTAACACTAAAATCAAATAATCTAATTAATACTTTTATAAGACATCACCCAACATCAAAATACACACTCCTTAAGGTGAACATAGACTTTTCAACAAAAAGACCATAAAATACGGCTCAATACATTTCAAAAAACAATTGCTATGTTACAACGTACGTCTTTACTGAGCAAACAAATGAAAACTAGTATTCAATGAAAAGAGGTTATTTAAAAGATACCCAAATATTCAGAAATTAAATATATATCTAAATACCCCTAGGATTAAAACAGATAGCTCAAGGGAAATTAATTTCAATGGAATGATAATAAAAATACAGTAGAATTTTTGGATTGCAGCAAAAGAATTTTAAGGAAAATTTTTAGGTCATTTTAATGTTTCTATTAGAAAATGAAGTTTAAATCAATTTTCTAAGTTTCTAAATTAAAAAGTAAACTAGAGCAAAACAATTAAAAGCAATTTAAACAAAAGAAACAGAATTAAAAATGAATATGCACAAGAGGTTCATTTTTAATAACCCCAAACTGTAAATGATCCAAATGTACATCAATTAGAGAATGTATAAATATTTTTTATTTATATATTGAAATCCTACTAGAAATTTTGAAAATTCATGAAATACACAAAAGCACCAATGAATCTCAAAAACCTTATATTGAATAAGAGAAATCAGACAGACAATAGGATATAATGTATGCGTTCATTTGTATTGTTTAAGAACAAAACTCAAAACTAATTTCTGGTGCTAGAAATCATAATATTGATTTCCTGTGGAGAATGGGAGCTAAGTGGAGTGAGCATGACGGACATTTCGGGAGTGATGGAAATGTTCTACATCTTAATTAGGTTGTTGGTGACCTGTGTTTATATTCATCAAACTTAATTAAATTGTGGAATTAGAATATCTGTATTTTACTGTTTTAAATTTGTCCTCAGTAAAAATATGTATTTGGTTACCATTGCTAATTAAGTCAAATGAATGTTCTGATGTTACCTCTAGATAGAACTATTATTTTACGTTTTAGACATGTCACTGTATTTTTGCTATAGTTTTCAAACTATTCTGTAAAAATAAGATGGCAACAAAATATTAACAGATCTTTACTCAGGAAGCAACTGTTTAGCAATCCATTAGTGCTGTTCTAACAAAACACCTAGGACTGGGTAATTTTTAAAGAGCATAAACTCATTTCTCACCATTCTGGAAGCTAGAAGTCCAAGATCAAAGCACTGGCAGGTTTGGTGTCTGATGAGAGCCTGATCTGTACTTCCAAGATGGTGCCTTGTTACTGCATTCTCTGGAGGAGAGAAATGCCATGTCCTCACATGAAAAAAGGGAAGGAAGGGCAAAAGGAGCCAAATTCCCTCCATCAGTCCCCTTTGTAACTTGTGCAATTAATCTTTTCATAAAGACGGAAGCTTCATGATTTAAACATTTTCCAAAAAGCCGTACCTCCTAACACTGTTGCATTGGGGATTATTTTCCACACAGGAATTTTGGGGACACATTCAAACCATAACTACCTATATTAAAGTTATTTTGGAGGAACAAATAAATGCCTTCCTTTCTAAGAATATCATTTTTTATTTATTTTTATTTTGGGGCCTAATTATTCTTTTCTTGTCTTTGTGGAAAGTGAATAAATAAATAGATAATCAGTAGTCTACTACAAAGAGCCCTGAAATCATATAATTAATTATGGGTCCTTAAAAAACATGTTCTTGCACTTAATTCATTTATGCATTCATACATTTAACAAGAATATAAGTTTTTGTGAAGTTTCTGGACTTGTTCAGCCACTATAGATCTATTGATGAGCACAAATAAAAGACTGTATCACTGCAGCATCAATTTTCATCTGTTCTATAATTTTTCATTGCTTATTTCTAAAAGGATAGAAAAGTTTATTTGGGTTGAAGTACAAGCAAAAATAATATTTGTTTATATATTTATTGAATGAGGCTTTTGCTATATTCCACTATCTATGTTATTGTATCCCCTTATTTGCTTATTCCGAATAATTTTCTTATATATTCATAGGTTGGCTTACAATAAAAGGAAACAAAGATGTCTACAAAAATATTCTTTGTATTCTATAAGTGCTCTATTAAACACATTTACAAATCCAGGTTTTTCTGTATATGAAGTATATAGACATTGTATATTTGTGCTACTGTGCTATTGCTAAATTTTTATTTATTATTTATTGTTTAGTCAATAAATTAAGATTGTATATATTTATGTCACACAAGTTGGTGTTTTGATTCATGTTTATGTTATATAATGATCCAATCAGGGTAGTTAGCATATCCATCACTTCATACATTTATCATTTCTTTGTTGTGGGAACATTTAGAAGCCTCTGTTTTACTTCTTTTGTAGGTAGGCATTACCTACTTTATAACCATTAGCTACAATGCCTTCCTGTTGACCATTGTCACCCTACTGCACAATAGGACACCATAATTTATTTCTTCTAATTGTAACTTTGCGCTCTTTGACCAACCTCTCTTCATCTTCCTCTCCCTCCTTCCTTCCTCAGTCTCTAGTAACCACTATTCCATTCTCTATATTACAAACCTTTTTTTAGATTCCATATGCATGGGACATATGTCTTATTTCACTAAACATAATGTTCTCCTGGTTCATCCATATTATCACAAATGCCAGAAATTCATTTTTAAAGGATAAATGGTATTCCATTGCATATATATACACCTTATTTTCTTTATTCGTTCATCCAATGTTGGACATGTAGGTTAACTCTGTGTCTTGGCTATTATAAACAGTGCCGAAATAAACACGGCAGTGCAGACATCTCTTCAAAATACTGATTCAATTTTCAGGGGATATATATCCAGTAGTGGGATTTCTGGATCATATAGTAGTTCTATTTTTAATTTTTTGAGGAACCTCCATACTGTTTTCCACAATGGCTGTACTAATTTACAATTCCACCAACAGTGTGTAAGTGTTCTCTTTTCTCTATATCCTTGCCAACACTTGTTTACTTTGTTTTTACTGCAGCCATTTTAACTGGAGTGAGCTGTGTCTCATTGTGGTTTTGACTTGCATTTTCATGATGATCAGTGATGTTGAGCATTTTTTCATATACTAGTTAGTCATTTATATATCTTCTTCTGAGAAATGTATATTAAGGTATTTGCTCATTTTTAATCAACTTATTTGAGTTTTTTGCTGTTAATTTACTTATATAGCCTGGATATTTACCCCTTGTCACATGTATAGTTTGCAAATATTTTCTCTCGTTCTGTAGTTTGTCTCCTCACTCTTAATTGTTTCATTTGCTGTGCAAAAGGTTTTTATTTTGAAGCAATTTCATTTGTCTATTAAAAAACAGTAAATACTAAATAACAAATTCAGTAAAGCTACAGGATACAAAATAACCATACAAAAATCAGTTGCATTTTCTATGTGCTCCTAGTGAACTATCTTGAAAATAATCAAGAAACCAATTTTACTTAAAATAGCTACCAAAAAAATAAGATAGCTAGTAATAAATTAACCAAGGATGTAAAGGATATCTACACTGAAAGCTATAAAACACTGATGAAAGAAATTGATGAAGACACAAAATATTGAAAGATATTCTGTGTTCATGAATTGGAATCATTAATATTGTTAAAATGACCATATTGCCCAAAGTGATCTACAAATTTAATGCAATCATTATCAAAACACCAATGACCCTTCTTTATAGAAATAGAAAAAAATCTATTCTGAAATTCATATGAAACCACCTTGAAAATCAAAATCAATCTTGAGAAAAAAAGAGAAAAGCTAGAGGCATCACATTATCTAACTTCAAAATACACCACAAAGCTACAGTAACCAGAACAGCACAAAAATAAAGATAAACCAGTGAAATAGAATAAAGAGCCCAGAAATAAATTTAGGCACCTTTAGCCAACTGATTTTTGACACAGATGCCAAGAACGCACACTAGGAAAAGATGATCTCTTTAATAAAGGTGCTCAAAAAATTGAATATCCACATGCAGAAGGATGAGACTAGACCCTCACCTCTCACAATATACAGAAATCAACTCAAAAAGGATTAAAGGCACATAATATAAAGCATAAAACTGTGAAACTACTAGGAGAAATGGGAGAAATGCTTTCAACATGAGGCCAGGCTAGGATTTTTAAAATAAGAGCTACGGGGTAGATTTAGCATGTGTGTACACACACACAAATAAGTAGCATAAGTACCAACTAGAATATCCCCTTAAACAATACATTTAAATAATGTAACCTTCCTTGGGAAAAAAATATAAAAGACTGGTCTCACCACATGTTTTAAAAACGAGATATATCAAGCTTGGAGTTTGACTTAATATAAAATTAGGAGATCTCAGTCTCTATTAGCAAGGCTGTCTTTTTCATATTAACAAGTCTACTTTCTACCATTGTGATATACAAATCATACTCAAAAGTATTTTTAACATCTAAAAAAACAAGCAACTATATAGAGGAAGCGTAGAATATTCAGGACAATCACTTGGCTAACTCACTCTAAATTTTATCTAGAGAAGGCCCAAACAAAAACAAACTAACAAAAAACAATTGTCACTAGGAATTTGCATCCACCAACGTGTTCTATATTAGAAGCTACATCTTTGGAATAAATTACTGCTGCAGTGCAGTGTCGAAATTGTTTCAAATATGCATTTACACTCCATGGCTCTCTAGATGGCAATGCAACATGGGGTAGGCTGAAAATTGCTGCTTTCAATTCTATAACTTCAGAATAAAAGGAAGAATAAATTGATATGAATTTATAAAGTATTTTCAAGCCACTCATAAATCTTTGGATAAAATATGATAATACCAAATAGGGAATTTGTATTTCTCTTAAAATAAATATTTTAGCAAAGATCCTTCTATTTTACCTAGATTTACACAAAATAAAGGTAATAGCTGATGATTACCCAGCAGTTTCAATACATTTCTTTTTTCATGATGTATTACACATTTGTCAAGACATACAGGTAGAATTTCCATATACTCACCGTCTCTTCAATTCACCCTCTGTACTTCTAAAGTGTAATAGTGATTGACCAGCCATTGTTCACCTCTTATAATTAATTAAAACATCACTACAGTATAGGCTATAATAATTAAAACTTAGATTAAGCAATATTATCTCCTCAGAAAATATACATTATTGTATATATTTTTCAATACCCTGTATTTTTCTGTATCATTTTTTCTTTACATATTTTCGGTAATTGTTTATATAACACTTACCCATCTTTTAGAATATTGAACTCCCTAAATATAAAAATTAGACACATATCTTGCATTTCTGGTATCTAAAAAGGTTCTCAATAGGAATAAGCCATAAATAGGTAAGTACTGAATGATGGATTGCTAATTTAATTAGCATGAGCTGTATTTGTGGAAGAGTTTTATTAGGTTTGAAAAACATGGGCTATATTGGATAGCTGTGTCTCATATTGCTGCCGTCACAGAAATGCCTGGGGATGGGGATGGATATTATCCTTAAAAAAGATTTTAGAACTTAAAAGCTTTTAGTGTGGTAAGAAAGATGTAGACTTACCTTGAGGAAACATAAAATTATGAAGTATTAGGACCTAAATCTGTACTGTAATGGCAGTTTCAGCCATGGATTAATAACCAGAGATTACATCCAAATGCAAGCCTAAAGAATTCACTACAACTACACATAGTGAGTGGAAGGGCCAGATCCTGAGGGTCAGACAGAGAGTGTGTTAGCAGAAAACTGACTGCAAATGAGTTTGGGAGGAGAGAAGCAAGACTTGTGTAACTAGCAGAAGCAGGCAAAGGACTACGGTGGAGGGAGTAAATGGTGATATGAAAATATCCTAATCCTCACATAGTAGGGTCACCTGGCACAGTGTTTGCAGTTTTATTTTTTTCCCCTCACAATGCATGTTTGCATTTTGTTGTTTCATTTTGTTTCTTGATGCTTTATTATTTATTCAGGATGATGGAACTTTCCTTAAATGCTTGGCTTCCAGAAGTGCAGTCTACTCATGCCTGGGTTCTCATTCTATACTGTTGCAATCAAACTGATTTGGGGACAGAGTAGGGTGATATTAGAGGTGATGGGCAGGCACTACTTAGCTTTCTTTGCTAGGTCCTACCTACCCCTTCTATGAAAATATATCACATAAGCCCATGAAAGCACTCAGGGAATGAAAACAAAAGGCTGGATTTTGCAAGATCTCTTATCACTATTCTCTGTTCTCTCTTTTGTTTTACTGCATGCAGCTATCTCTGGCTGCTGCTGCTGCTTTTACTAAAATGTTGCAGTCCCCCATTCCACTTCACCTCCTTCTGGATCTTAACAGCTTCCTTCTGGATCTTAACAGCTTCCTTCTGCAGTTAATTACCCGAAGATTGTTGGATCACACCAAACTCATTCGACTGACTAAACTTTTTAGACTACTTTATAGTTAGATGCCTCCAACAGGCATGGTGAGTGAGTTTCAAAATTTTCCTGTGTTTGGGAATTCTGGAAAATCTTAAAGTTCTGCCTGTTGAATCTTTTATCAATCATAATCTGTTTGATCTGCTTTCTTTTAAAAATATTTATAATTGACACTTAATTGTGCATATTTATGAAGTTAAATGTGATATTCCAATACATATATAAATTGTGTAATGATTAAATTAGCAAAATTAGCATATTCCTCACCTTAAACATGTATTGCATGTTATTGGTGATGAGAACATTCAACTTCAAAAATTTGTAGTTATTTTGAAATATACAATGCATTTTTGTTAACACCAGTCATCATATTATGCAATAGAACACCAGAGCTTATTTCTTCTATTTAATTGTAACTTTACCAGTCATTTGAAATATTACTTCTATTTAGATTAAATATATTTTATAAATTAAGAGAGACTCATTTCTAAGTCTTCTTACAAATGTTTGTTCATATAAAACATTATACATCAATTTGCCTCAATGGTTTTATAATAGTGAGTTACTTATTTTTCCTCATGAATTCAAAAATATTTATTGTGTCTATGTACAATATCATCTAGTTACATCTTCTTAGTCACTTATCTTCAGAGAGCTGCAGTGAATATTGGGTTAATATTCCAGAGATAAACAAATGAGAGCAAGTCTAGTTATAACTAGACACAAAATTCTGCTTAGTGTTTGCATCAGTGTAATTAAGAACATTTTTTAAATATTATATATTTGTTTTTAAATTTTCTCTTCAATCTTCTATTGTCTGGAGGAAATCTGCTATCAGTGTAGTTCTGAGTCTCCAGCTATTAGCTGAATCAGTTTGCAAAGTTTAAAGATTCAGAAAATGTAGCCTTAAATATGCTACCATAATTATAAAAACTATTATTTCCGATTCTCTAAATTAACTTTAATTCACATTAATTTAAAAAATCTATAAAAGATTATAATTTGTATAATGCAATTAATTATACACGATACAGCTTTTCTGCCAGAGTATATTTTCAGTTATGTATTGATATTTATTTTCTGTGAATAATTTCCTACGAACTCCATTAAAATCTGAATGGATTATTTTGTTAAAAGCCAGCAAAGCTAGCAGCTAATTTCTATTTTTTTTTTTTTTTGAGACGGAGTTTTGTTCACTGTTGTTGCCCAGGCTGGAGTGCAATGGCGAGATCTCGGCTCACTGCAACCTCTGCCTCCCGGGTTTGAGTGATTATCTTGCCTCAGTCTCCCGAGTAACTGGGATTATAGGCACCTGCCACCATGTCCTCAGATAATTTTTGTATTTTTAGTAGAGACAGGGTTTCACCATGTTGGCCAGGCCTGTCTCAAACTCCTGACCTCAGGTGATCTGCCCGCCTCAGCCTCCCAAACTGCTGGGATTACAGGCTACAGGCGTGAGCCACTAGGACTGGCACTAGCAGCTAATTTCTTTTATAATCAATGTTTTTTTTTAAGTCAGTTTGTTGTCGTTAAACCAGATGTGTATATAACTTCTACAAGACTTGCTTATAAAGGACTTTAGCATCTGAGATTACATTGACAAGAAAAGAAGTTGAGTCTAAGCAGGGTGATTGACCTGATTGTAGCCAAGTAGTTTGGAGTATCAAGACTAAAGGAGAGTGACAAAGTTGAGCATATTTTGGGTAAGCCCCTCTACTGAGACTGTTATATTGTATTAGCAGAAATCTAGGGAACAGCTGCAACTATCTCCCCTCAAAATCAGGCAGAAATAATATCATTTATTTGGGATTCAGATCATTCAAAATAAAAAAGCATGTACATTACGAAAATTAAAAACCACAAGGAGATACCTTTTCATATCCACAGGAAGCTAAAATAACACAGACAATAACAAGTGTTGGTGATGATATGGATAAACCAAATTTAACATCAATTGTTGGAGAAATATCAAATGGTGCAGCCATTTTGAAACATGGTTATCAAATATTGTATTAATTATAATATCTTCCTCTAAAGAGAGTGGTTGGGAGTGGGGAGCCTATCAAGGGCAGGCATCCTTTTAGTTTCAGTGCGAGATTAGAGTAATGCTTCCTAATACAAATGGAACATGAGGAATGAGGCAAGGAAATGAAAGCAGAACCCCAACCATTTAGAGTGGCTAAAAAGTAGGTAAGAACACAAATATCTCTCTGTGTGCCAACAGCTGCCCACAGTACATCCAATCTCAGCAGAACTTAATATATAACTCTAAGACAAATAATTCTTACAAAGATTTAGTAGACTGAATTTAACCATATTGTTTGCCTTACTTTGCAATGAGTTGAATGCCAGGAAAGGGCAAGCACAGTTCTGAATAGTATGATGACTACAGATGAAAGGTACTCATATTTGATACTTAAAAAAGATAACAGAATTTAAAATAACTAATTTTTTTGCAAGTAATATAGCCATGGTGGTGCAAATAAACTGCTCTGTGCTGACTTATATCTGCAAAATAAATAAATAAATAAGTGAATCTGGGTAAGTGTGGGTTGCATATACGACACATCAAATGATTGAGGTCCAGAAGACTCTAAGCTCATTACATACAGGTACAATGTATTCCTCAATCATTCAATGCACACGTCTTTTATTTTGGGAGATGTTTCTTAATTTTTTTTTTTTTTTGAGATAGAGTTTCAGTCTTGTCACCCATGCTGCTGGTGTGCAGTGGTGTGATCTTGGGTCACTGCAACCTCTGCCTCCTGGGTTCAAGAGATTCTCCTGCCTCAGCCTCCTGAGTAGCTGGGATTACAAGTGCCTGCCACCACACCTGGCTAATTTTTTGTATTTTTAGTAGAGACAGGGTTTCATCATGTTGGGCAGACTGTTATCCAATTCTTGACCTCACGCAATCCCCCCACCTTGGCCTCCCAAAGTCTTAATTATTTTAATTGGTTTTTAGTTACAGAAACTTTGAGTTAATCATTCTCCATGATCATCATTGATCAGTGTAAAATCTCTCATTATTTTTAATATTATTTTATGTTTTTCTTCATTTATAATGTCCATGAATTTTTTCTCCTGTCAGTGACTAGTCACCCCTTCCCTGCATTTTAGAAGTGTCCCTATATAAAATGTGAAAATTTATATAAATCAGGCAAAACTTAAAGGATACAACCTAAGGGAAATCTACCTGGGCCTCCCTGCACTCTCAGGGGCCTGAGAAGCCCCCATGCTCCCACAGGCTTGGAAGTACCTGCTCCCACTACCAGGCCTCTGTCCCTACTTCCAGTGCTTGCTCCAGTTTTGGAGCAAAGTTGAGGCTAAGCCCAGGAACTGTTGTGACCTAGCTGGGTGTGTGAGTACTTGAGGTGGCACTGACATACCAGGTCCCTGCTGCCTGAACTCCCTCTGGACTTGAGGGAGTTCGAGGGGGTCCTGAGGGCAGCTTGGCACAGGCCTGCAGGCACCCCTAAGCATGAACAGCCTGGGCACCACGGACATGATTGGTGGTGGCAGGAGGCAGACAGGCCCCTGGGCAGGAAGGGGTAGGTCCCTGGTGAAGCCTCACCTTTAATCCAGGGATGGTCTGAAGCCCGGGGGCTTGCTGTCAGTTCCAGGTGGAGTCCACATCCTCAAGTGAAAACCTGTGCTATTTCTGGCCTGCCCATGGCTCCCCAGGGACCAGTCAGTGCAAACTTCCTCCATTCTGAGCTCATAAAACCCCCAGACCCAGCCAGACTCACACAGACATTGAGCAACCTGCCTGCAGAAAGGAACTTCCCATGGTGGGTCTCCTGAGAGTCATTCACTCAGTGAAAGTCCTCTCAGCTTTGCTCACCCTCCAGTTGTCCGTGTACCTCATTCTTCATGGATGCAGGACAAGAACTTGGAACTTGCTGAATGGCAGGACCGAAAGAGCTGTAACACAAATGGCTAAAACATGCCCTCCCATTTGCTGCATTGCAGGTGACTAGAAGGAGAGAAGAGCTGCAGCCCTTTGGGGAGCCTAGACCTAGTTGTTCTCAGGGCCAGGGCTGTGACACTCTCTTTGGAGCTCTGTGGTTACTGGCGTCTCCAAGCCTCTGGGTGCCACCACATTCCCCTCATCCACACGCGGATGCCCAAAACTGAAGCTGCATGCAGTATATCTGGTCCAGCCACAGCTTCATATGGAGCCAGCACCTGTGCTGATGCCTGGAGCTGCCCACCCTGCCACAGCAGTCAGCACGCTGGACACAGTGGCCGGACCCCACGCTTGCTCGCCCACACACCCCTCTCCACTTTGCACCTGGTTTGCCCGCGGGAGGTATGGGATTTGGGCTGATAGTGTGACCTGAACACAGCCTGCCAGGCCAAGGGGGCAGAATGAGCCAAGCAGGCACTAGCAATACTCAGGCAGAAGGTTTCACTGGCCACAGAGGTTTCTGGCTGGCAAAGTGACACCCTAAGTATCCTGTGACACTGGGCCACACAGCAGGAGGTGACCAGCAGGTAAGCAAGCATTGCCACCTGAGCTCTGCCTCCTGTCAGATCAGCAGTGGCATTAGATTCTGATAGGAGAGCAAACCCTATAGTGAACTGTGCATGCAAGGTTGTGTGCTACTTATGAGAATCTAATGCCTGGTGATCTGAGGTCGAAGAGTTTTATCCAGAAACGATCCTCCTAATGTCCCATCTGTGGAAAAATTGTCTTCTATGACAGTGTTCCCTGGTGACAAAATGTTTGGGGACAACTGTTTTACAGCATTACTCAAAATAGTATTACTGAGATTCATCTATGCTGTGTAGATGAGTGGTTTGATCTTCCTTATTGTTGAGTAGCACTAAACTGTGAGTGTAAACACATACATACACACACAGACCCACAAATACATATGTTTATTTATTCACCTTTTGTTAAACATTTGGGTTGTTTTTAGTTTCTGGCCCTTGGAAATAAAGAAAATTTTATATTTTCACTTCTCTTAGATGGTGTTGCTGGGTTTACGCATATATATATATATATATGTATATATATATATATATACATATATATATATACACACACACACACATACATATACACATACATATATATGTGTGTGTGTGTATATATATATATATATATATATATATATATATATATATAACTGTGAAATTGTTTTACATAGGGATGTAATATTGTACATTCCTACCAGGAATGTATGAAAGTTCCAGTTACTTCCCATCTTTTCAAGCATGTAATATTGCCAGTAGTTTTAATTTTTCTGTTACAGTGTGTTTGCAGTGGTATCTTGCTATGGTTTTAATTTTCATTTCCTTGATGGCTAATGAAGAAAGATGCTGAGCATCTTTCCATGTGTTTGATAACATCTATGATATCTTTTGTAAAGTATCTGTTAAACATCATTTGGTCATTTTAAAATCAAACCTAAATTTCTTATTTTAATTTTATTTCCCTTTCTTATTATGGTTTTAATGGTTGATTGTATATTCTATTGAGAAATCCTTTGTCATATTTATAAAAAATATTTTCTTCCTGTCTTTGGGTTGCCTTTTCTTTTCTTACCCTTGTCTCAAAAGGTTTTGTTGTTGATAAAGTCCCATTTATAATTTTTTTCTTTTATAGTTCATGCTTTTTCTGTCCTACTAAGAAATCTTTGCTTATTTCCACAGACACAAAAATTTATTATGGAAAACTTTTATTTGTAATACTTTCATAGTTTTTTCATTTTAACTTTAGGTTTATAATTAATTTAAATTTCATTTTTTGTACATGATATCAGATAAAAGCCAAGCTTAATGTTTTTGCACATAGATATGTAGCTACTTCATCACTGTATATTATTGTCAATCACAAATTGTTCATGTATGTATAATTCTACCTGTAGCCTTTCTACTCCAGGCTACTATTCTGCATGTACATTCTTATGTGAACTATTGTCATTACTATGTCTTTCTTTTTATTTATTTAATTTAATTTTATTTTTTTTTTAGATGAAGTCTCACTCTGTCACCCAGACTGGAGTGCAGTGGGTCAATCTCAGCTCACTTCAACCTCTGCCTCCTGGGTTCAAGCAATTCTCCTGCCTCAGCCTCCTGAGTAGCTGGGACTACAGGCATGTGGCACCATGCCCAGCTAATTTTTTTTTTTATATTTTCAGTGGAGACGGGGTTTCACCATGTTGGCCAGGCTGGTCTCAAACTCCTGACTTCATGTTCCACTGGATTAGGCCTCCCAAAGTGCTGGGATTACAGGCGTGAGCCACCGCGCCCGGCTACATGTTTTTCCAATAAGTCTTGAAATCAGGTAATGTAAGTCCTCCAGCCTTCTTTTTCAACCTGCCAAAATTTGAGGGCTTTTCTGGGATTTCGTATATTTATATAAAATTTAAAATTAGCTTTTCAATGTTTCCAAATTTTCTCCTTGGAATTTTTGAAGGGATGACATCAAGTCTATAAATCAGTTTGGGGAGAAGAATTTTTTATTGTAATAATATTATATGTCTTTTCATCCAAACACATGGTAGATCTTCCCATTTATGTAGGATTTTAAAAATTGATATCAACAATTTTTGTAGAAATAAGTGTAAAATGTATCTCATATATTTTGTCAAATTTATTGATGAGTATTTTATTTTTTGATGCTATTGTATATGGTATTATAATTTAAAATTCTTAGTGTTTATTGCCAGTATACAGAAATATTATAGATTTTTATGTGAATTGTAATAGTAAAATCACTTTTTAGATCTAGAAGTTGTTTTGTGATTTTTCTTATGATTTTCTATGTACATAATCTTGTCATTTGTGAAGAAAGACAATTTTAAAAAAATTTATTTTCAATATGCATACCTTCCATTTCATTTCCTTGCCTTACTGCACTTGTTACAACCTCCGGAACAGTGTTTAATAAAAGTAATATTCATGGATATCTTTGTCTTTTTACCCAGTCTTAGAGGGAAGTCATGTAGTCTTTTACCATTGACTGAGATTTTGGTCATTTGATTTTTGCTATTTTTTTTTTCCATATACCTGAAGGCCACACCACTGAACATTGTAACTTAACCTTCACTGGCTTTTTTATAGATAATATGTATATGTCACCATGGTAACTGTTGCTTAAGTTGTTTTTCAGGAACTTGGGGGCAGCTTCTGTTCAGTTCAAACAGAGACCACCAACCCTTCAACTGGACCTGTGCAAATGCCTAAGAGGTGGCATTTTGATGCCACAGGATTGAAAACTTCACACTCAGATCATGATAATGTTGCCATTTTCTAAATATATGTCCTATGAAATGGCATAAATCTCAACTATGCTTGCACAGAGCACTGATAACTTCATTTTTCCCCACTGCCTATT